>NC_000015.10:87350369-87501884 GCF_000001405.40 Homo sapiens
GACAAGTCTTCCTTCAGGATGGGCTCATCTGCCCCATCTGCCCCCATTGGTGGAGTTAAGCAGAACAGATTGCTGGTGCTCAGGGTTAACTAATAACCATCATTGAGTGTGTGCCATGCAGGCCAACACAATAATCTTTTGGAGGAACTTGCTTTTCCATCAATTTACTCTCCCAATGCATTCCCCAGTGTGGCAAGTAATCAAGACCATCTGTATATGGTAATCTTGTAGGTGGAGAAGGGAATAGAGGTTCAGAAGGGAAATCCACCAAAAATGCCACATTGCTGATACAGGTTCCCAAGGCTCAATTTCCCTCTCTTGTGCTGTTACAACAGGACCATCATAATCTAACTTTGGAAGTTTCCTACTCAGAGGAGTATGCTCCAAAACTCAGCCAAGTTTTCCACTTCCAACTGGGACATATATTTTGGACCTACTCTCTTTCACACCTTTTCTGGGGATGCGTACTCCAGTATCTACATCATTGAATTGGATTAAATCCAAGCTGCCTTCAATAATGGAGGGGACTTTCCATGCTGCTACATATGGTTGTGCAGATTTACATGGCAAAAAAATGGTTGTGCACTGCTTCAGTTCCCCAGCAAATATCTTTGGATTAAAATATCAAGTCATCTGGATTAAAACAAGCTGGATTCTAGGATTTCACTGCCCTTCTCATGTTGTGAGCAGATTTGTCTTTGCTGGGGCACTTAAAGCTGGAATCTATAAGATAGTTACGTTACTTGTTAAGGTTATTTGGTTGTAAGCAACAGGGAAAGTCTCTGGTTATAACTTATGACAAAAGAAACTTACTGGAATGGGAACAGGTAATTCTCAGAACTGAAAGCCTACTTAACCAGAAAATAAAAGGGGACAGGAATCAAGGCGGGCCCAGGGTCGAGATAGAAGGAGCTATTTGATAAGTATTAAAAGAACTCCATTCTTTCTAACCAGTGGTTACTCTCCTCAGTGAGAGCACCCAGTTAGCCTGGCTTAGATCACATGAGTCTTCCTTGACTGGTGTTGGGCAGAGAACCCTGATTTGATGTCCCACCAACACTACACACAAGAGGGAAAGCAAGTTCCCCCAAAGAGATGAGAGTGGGCTGACACCAAGCAAAAGGAGTGAAGGCTAGACAGCCAAAAGCAGCAAGTGTCCACAATGACCCCCAGACTGTTCTTTTCCAAAAAAAGCATTTAGTACTCAGCATCTGTTACACAGAGCTCTGTTTAAGGAGCAATGAGGAGACAAGTTCAGAACACTGTCTCTAAATTTGCTAAATAAAGGAAAAACACGTGCAAGATATATACCTCCACATCTATCCCAATTTGTAAGAAGGTTTTTAAAAAGCATGGCGGAGTAAATCATTTTCAAACTTTGATATGGAAAGTTTAATTAGTAGTAAATTACTTGTAACATATCTCATAAGTCCACAGCTATAGAGCTTTGACCTAGAGAATCTGTGGTCCTAAAAGTTATTTTCAAAATCCATTCTATGCAGTCCCTCACTGGAGAGAGAGACTTTTTAAAGCAGAGGAGTGCTTTTTATCCACTTGTCACTTCCAGGGAAGTTTTCAGTTGAATCTAATATTTTCTGGCAAAACAAATGTATGAACCATTGCTCTTAAAGTTCAGAGTTAAGGTTCTCCGAGGTAGAAAGCTTCATAGAGAAAGGGACTTAGAGAGAAATGTGTTTGATTTAAATGAGGTTAGTGCCAAGGAGCGAGCTTTAGAAATGGAGAATGCTATGCAAAGGAGCAGAGGTGAACACATGCATGACTTGGTAGAGAATAGCAAAAAGCACAAACCTGACGGGGAGGGGAGCAGAACTACAACCTCTGCGCATCTGGAAAAGACAACAGCAAAAGCAACTTGCTGGTTGGGTTGCTGTAAGGATTAGATGAGATCACGTCTGTAATGCCCTTAGTGTGCGAACAGAGTGAATGGCACTTTAAAGAAAGTGTTCAATGAATGCCAGCTATGTGTTGATTACGTTAGGCTCTGGAACAGATGATGAATGCAGGGCTTGGGAAAATGCTATATCAAGGGCCTCTGCAGGGCCAGTGGGGCAGGCACTGGCCCTGTTGTTGCTGGGAAGGTTACCTGCTTCGGAAGGCACTCATGCTATGGGACTGGCAATAAGGATGTGAGAGTAAATCAGTCAAAATGAACGGGACTTGATGACAACATGGTAGGACAGACTCTAACCTCAAAATAAAAATAAAAATTTGAATTTAAATCTAAGGGAACCACGTTGAAGGAAATTTGTTACATGGGTGATGGAAATGTTTTGAAGCTAACATAGGACTTGAAGCAATCTAAAATCTAGTGACAGGCAGGTAGCAAGTGCCACCCCTGGCTGAAGGGAAAGGGAGAAGATGTATTCCAGAGTCCAGCAGCTGGGATCACTGAGCCTAGGGTTTGTCAGGAGGAAAGTGAAGCCCCTGAGGAGTTCAAGAAGAGGTGGTCACTGCTGAGTTGCTTTCCCCAGAGAGCAGGGGCCACAATCCCCTGGCTTCCTTCTTCCCTACTCCAGGCTCCCAGAAGTCCCTCCCCATGGCTATCTCAGCCTGAAAGGCCAAAATAATGCAAGCGTGTAGAAGGAAGGTCAGGAAAAACGTAGGAATGGATCTCAGGGCAGGCCAAGGACAAAACAGATTCTGAAGAAAGTATCAATTGAAATAGATGACTCTCTAGAACTGTTCCAAGATAAACTTAGGCACATTAAAATTTTAATGAGTTTTTTGAGCATTCGTAAATTCACCAATCAGGCAGGACTCCATTGTAGGCAGTTCAGCACTCCATGGGGGGATATGGTGTGCAGAGGTAGAGAAGAAACCATTTATAAGATATTTACAGAAGCAAGGGCAAGGCTAGGCTTTGATTGGTTAGAGTGGAAAGTCCCTTACTTAGAAGTAAGTTAGTGGTTTCTGATTGGCTCTGCGTAAGTTTCATTTAACTGTTTACAATAGGCTTGTTTGCCTACCCAAGGCATTGGAGCCCTCTAGGCCCAATGTCCTCTTTTCTGTTTTTTGTTTGTTTTTGTTTTGTTTTGAGACAGAGTCTCACTTGGTCACCCAGACTGGAGTGCGGTGGTGCGATCTCAGCTCACCTCAACCTCCACCTCCCAGGCTCAAGTGATTCTCCTGCCTCAGCCTCCCGAGTAGCTGGGATTAAAAGCACACACCACTACCACCTGGCTAATTTTTTGTATTTTTAGTAGAGACAGGGTTTCAACATGTTGGTCAGGCTGCTCTCAAACTCCTGTCCTCAAATGATCCACCCGCCTCAGCCTCCCAAAATGCTTGGATTACAGGCATGAGCCACTGCGCCCAGCCCCAGTGTCCTTTTAATTAATTTTTTTAACAAAACAACTAGAAAGAGAAATAGGCAAGCTCAGCTTAACTCTTGTTTTAGACAAAGATGACTCAAGCCAGGTATTTTGCTTTGATGAGGAGGAGAAGGAGTTGTGGGGCCAAGGGAGATAAATGGCTGGAGGGAAGGGGGCCTCTTCCAAGGAATGTCTCTTGTACTGGGACTGTGATACCATCTCCTAGGATCCTGCTGGGAGGTGAGTGGGATATAACCCGCCATGGGTCTCTATGGATCTGTGTGTGTGTGTGTGTGTGTATGTGTGTGTGTGAATTTGGTCTGCCTTAGTTGGAAGATTCTTTCTTTAAACATTAATGTCACTGGCTAGGCACAGTGGCTCATGCCCCTAATTCCAGTATTTTGGGAGGCCAAGGCAGGCAGATCACTTGAGGCCAGGAGTTTGAGACCAGCCTGGCCAACATGGTGAAACCCCATCTCTACTAAAAATGCAAAAAATTTGCCATGCATAGGGGTGCACGCTTGTAATCCCAGCTGCTTGTGTGGCTGAGTCAGGAGAATCGCTTGAGCCTGGGAGGCAGAGGTTGCGGTGAGCCGAGATCGTGCCACTGCACTACAGCCTGGACGACAGAGTGAGACTCCCATCTCAAACAAACAAACAAACAACACCTTAATGTCACTGATTAACCTGCTGCTGGGGGTTCTTCTGCTTACAGCTTCTGTCTCTTACTTAACCTTGATCTTTATAAGTCAAACACTCGAGGTAAGCTTGCCTTACTATGACTCTTGTGAATGCCATGTTACCTTATTGATTCCAACAGGAAATTTGAAAAAAGTAAACACTTTAGGGCAGAAAGATAATAAAAGGAAAAAAAGATGGTTAGAACTACCACAAATGAATTTATTTTAAGTGTTTCTTTTTTTTTTTTTTCAGTAAGTCTTTAGAGGACATACCAGGACAACTAATATTAATTTCCCTTACTTAGTTTTATTTTGTAATTGAGCTGACCATTCATTGGATTGCATTTGACTGTTGATTTGGTGTGTTATGACTCCGTGGCCATAACTAGAAAGCTTATCATCCTCGGTTAGTGTATAAAGAGCTGGCAGCAGGAGCACCACTGGCTGTCTCATTTCTCAGGTATGATGTATCTTTGCCAGTCTTATGACTTTCACAGCTTTGGGTGAATAATACATCTGTGTTCATATATCCTGTGATCACATTTCCTAACCCTAAGGAAATATTGGTAGAGGACCTCCATCTCCTTTATACTTGTAGCTAGAGTTTACTAAAGAAAGAGCATGAACCAAAATAATAATTTATGAATAATATAGTGAGTAATGTAGCAGAGATAAGAGAAAAGCAATGTGTATAGAGGGGGCTGATTCATATTCAGATCTGTGTGTGTTCTTTTGTGGATCTACAAGGGCAATCTGGGACAAGGATATCATTTCAACTAGTTTTTTACCCCAAGGGGAAAGGGTACGTGTTTCCTTAGCTCTGGGGTTGAGTTAAACAATGTTGTATGTTCATTTTAGCCACTTCAGTGCCTACAAATTATGATTGAGTGTCTGTCTTCAAGCTGGCCTGGGTCCATATTAATAATGGGAAAATTCTTCTCAACCTTCTCCAAACCACAGGTCTCAAAATTAGGCTGCAGGTCTTTTTAGGAACAAATCCATCTCAATGACATTTATATGCATGTTTATGTGTGTGGGTGTTTGTGGGTATGATTACATATATTCTCAAAAAGTATAAAATAGCTTTGGCAATAACCTTACATTTGCTACATCTACTTCAATTAAAATTAGGGAATAGTGTGTCCCAGGAAAAAGAAGCAAACTCACCTTCACTGCCAGTTTAACATTTAGATCATCTTCCAAGTCACCTTCTGACATCACAGTGCTCAAAAGGCTTTCTTTTCTGCTGCATGAATTGTTTTCCTTCCAGCCTCTCTCAGCTTGGTTACTGACACTTCCTTCTAGTTGCTTTAACTCCACTTCGTATTGCAACCTGTAGCGCAGAAGAGCATCCAGATGCCCCTTCATTTCCCCTACTCAACAATAACAAAAAAACAACTTGCAACTGAATTAAGGAAGCAAAACAAAAACAATTCTGGCAGACAATAAGTGGACCAAAGCAACTCAATATTTCATCCTCATGTTCTGTTTGAAGAGTTTCATGAGAATCTTGTTTATAATCCCATTGAAAATAAAGTGCTCAAAAATAAAAGCTGTTTCATTTTTTCAAGCTCACTCTCCTTTGTTCATGGTACACTAATGGAACAATTTTTAAATAATGACTTAATTTTTTTTTCCTTGTGAAAGATGCTTTCTGCAATCAAAAGCGGGTTCTTTATTTTTGAGCTTGGCACTCACATTCATTAGGACTAGTTGCATCCAAGTAGTAGAGGCTTATCTGTTCAGCTGGAAATGGGACATTAACATTTTAAGAGGATGATGCAGAAGCTTTTAGAGATAATATTCTCCCTGCCCTATTCTGTTGATGCTGTCTTAGAAAATGCAACATATTTTTTCCCTAAGCAATGATGAGTTCATAAAAAACAGGTTATTACAAAAGACATAATTTTTTTTGCAATCCTCCATCACTTCAAAAAATCAAAATTTGGGTTACAAATAGAAAGTTTACCAAAAGGAGAGAAAGCCCAAACTAAGCACCCATCAAGTCCAAATCAACAATGAATATATCTCTCTGTAAACATCCACCACAGTATAACAGTAACATTGCACGGTCCTAGCAGGCAGGCAACTGTAGTGGCTAAGTCTCACCCTTTCTCATTTTCTTTTTTTCCTTTTTTGTTTCTCCTCTTGTTGAAGGGATTTCTCTCTCCTCTGGCCTCCTCAAAAATTTCCTCCCTCAATTTCCCCCACTGTCTCCTGCTTCATCACTTTCTTCCAGTCTGCCTTCTGGCTTACTCTCATTAGCAAACAAGCTCCACTATCTCAGTGTAACTAACCTTCCATTTCCCCATCCAAACTATAGCCTTATATCCCTCATTTTTAATAGTCAGACTTCTCTGGTGTTGTTTATGCATGCTGTCTCCAATTCCTCCTTTCCCATGCTCTTCAATCCATTCTCATCTGACTTCTGTCCCTACCACTCCATAAAACCTTTCCTGGCCACGCTCACCAAAGATCTCTGTTTTGGCAAATGTACAATTATTTATCCTTTTTAAATTTTATTCCCTCTCTTAGCAGGACCCAATAAAACCAACCATTCTTCCCCGTTGGTGAGAGGGACAAAATCCCCCTCCACTGGAAGGCAGAAGACAACGGACTTCCTAACAATGTCCATTGTTTTGCTTTTTATCCAACTCTACCTGCCGTCAAGGTCCAGACTGTAACACAGCAAATGTAGCTCAGTCCTCATCTGCACGCACTTATATTTTAAAAAAGATAAGGAGAAACTGACCAGAGTTTATTCTGTTAGAATTTCCATGAGAATCTCCCAGTTCAAAGGTGACTTTGGGCCAGCACTATGTTGGAATCCTGGTGGTTACCTTTTGAGTATCACAAGGAAAAACAATGCATTCAACTTATTTCTGTACCCCTGGTCTTTTACTCATATTTCATATACTGAAAAACTAATGAAAACTCAAAGCAAATTTTATCCTTGAAAAATATCTTTGATTCTTCGGTTTTTACCCCTGTAGAGGCTCTTCTGAAGGCTATTCCAGGAATGAATTCTGGTCACTTATCTTAGGCCAGTTGCTCTGTTTCTTTGCTAATTTTATGGATTTAAGTTAATCTGTTAATGAAACAGATGGGGACATGGGTGCTTGAAAGAACTATGCAGTTAGCTATGAAGAATAAACTAATTTATTAACTCTTAGCAGGGAACCATCTGAAGACTTAATTGAGATTTGTCTTTAGAACTCAGAGCTGTTGTTTCACTAGGTTATGTTTTCATGGTGTGCTAATTGTCCTCTAGGGAATCTATTCTTTGTCACTTTTTTTCTTTGCTGTCTGTCAGTGTTCTCTATCCACTCTCCTCTCACTTACAGCTCAACAGTTTAGCCTGCCTGATGTTTCCACTTGTCATCTATCTGCCCATCAACCTATGTATTTCTGTCCTGCAGAGCACTGGGAATTGCAGGCACTTTGACAACAGAGCCAAATTAGCATCAACAGTAACCACAAGGAAGTCCAAGTGACTTCCTTGGAATCAGCCATTTGCTACCCTCAGAAGGAGTCACAAGGAGGCCCATCAAGCAGTGAATGGTACTGCTATGTCTCTCAAAACTAGGGTGTAGGGAGATCCGAGGAATTCTTACCCTGGGACATATATGAAAACTAGCATTTCATTGCAAGAAGTTTTAATTTTCCTGTGGCCACTGCCTAAGGGGATTTTAAAGCACTGCCGGGTACTGCAGACATCTGCTTTTGATGGATTGCCAGTAGCATTTCCCACTCTAAGAGTCCTCAGTACAACACAGCCAGCTGTGTAGTCTATTTAACCACAGTGTGAAAACTTTCAGCCTTGAAACTACCAGCAGGTAGGTCAATGGGTGCCTAGCTTCATTAGTTAACGCAACTTTCTATGAATTTATTCAGTGTCCATTGATAAGTATTAACAGGGGTCTGGGTGCAGGGAATATTGCTGAAGGTCCCCAAACCTACTCAGTTCCACCCATGATTATCAGAGAAGAGCCCTGCACACTGAATAACTCCACCCTTCCCCACCAGTCATCAAGACAGATGTGCATGCTTACAGACTAATTCCACACTTTCTCCACCCCTGGCCCTCATCCATGGAGATCTAGAAGGTATCCCAGAATGTAAACTTGCCTGCCCCCAATATTCACTATCACATACTTAAAGTCCACTAGGAATTAATCTCATGTTGCCCCTTATTCTAGTTTATATTGTAAGAAACTCCCAAATTACAGGTCATCTTCAGCCCTCTTAGTTCAATCCCCGAAAGGCTTTGCATGTCACATCCTCTATTCCCTGCATCCACAACCCCCTGGCTTCTAAAACCTTTCACTTCACCCCCTAGAATTCCCAGCCCATTGGCAACATAATCTCCTATATTTTTGAACTCCTGGGCTCAAGTGATCCTCCCGCCTCGGCCTCCCAAATTGCTGGGATTACAGGCATGAGGCCACCGCACCCAGCCCACGTCCTATATTCCCAAACTTTTCTCTGAATTTCCCTTTCGACTTCTCACTGTCACTGAAACTGGAGTCCCCCTGAGAGCTGCTTTCCCTGCAGCCCTCTCAAGTGGTAGCGGGCAGTGAAGAGGGCATCTTCCTTGGTCCTCACTTCCTCTTCAGACTTTTCTCCCTCTGTGTTTCCCTTCCAGCCCTAAAACCTCCAACTTTGAATCGCTTGACATCAGATTATATAAAGAACATCTGCTCCTTGTTTCAGTTATTCTTGACTCCTGTGTGCTCCCTTAATATTTTCCCTCCAGCTTGTGTCCGGCCCTCCACACAACTCTTACTCATTGATTTTTTTTTCCTACACATGTAAAGACATTCTCCACACTCAGAATTCAATTCCTTGAGCTTTTTCCCTCACTGGTTTTGTTCTTCACTCTACCTCAGCCTCTACTTTTAGGCTCATAATATTGACCCCATCACTACCAAGAGCCATAGCCCATCCACAGTCATAGTTCTATGCACCACCACTTCCTTTCTTTCCCAATAGTTATTTCAGGTGGCTAAACTCCAATTAAATCTTTTTTTTAAGACAGAATCTCACTCTGTCTCCCAGGCTGGAGTGCAGTGGTGTGATCTCAACTCACTGCAACCTCCGCCTCCCATGTTCAATCAATTCTTCTGCCTCAGCCTCCCAAGCAGCTGGGACTACAGGCACCCACCACCACACCTGACTAATTGTTGTATTTTTAATAAAGACAGGGTTTCACCATGTTGGCAAGGCTGGTCTCGAATTCCTAACCTCAGGCGATCTGCCCACCTCAGCCTCCCAAATTGCTGAGATTACAGGCATGAATGCACCGCGCCCAGCCATCCAATAAAATCTTGACAACACCTTTGCACTTTCTCTTCCCAGTGGTCTCTTCCCTTCTTCCCAGTTTAAATTCCATTGTCCTTCATTATAATCACTCCTTAAATATACCCTCATTTCCCTCGCTTATCTTGACCTTCACAGCATACAACTGGCAAAACCAGAACCCTAATTAAACCCAGCTCTCAGCCTACTTCCTGCTTGCATCCTGGCTGTAGAACACGGCCGTAGAATGACTTACAAATGTACTGTCCTGCATCATTTTATGTAGTCAGGAGACTACATTGGGCTCTTGCTTATATCCAGGAATCTCATGCCAAATCCTCGATCCCATCACTCACTCTCCAGGAGAACACTTTCATACTTTTTCCCTTTTCTTCCAACTTCTAACATCTTTTCCCTAACTCTTCCTTTCAGTTTATAATTAAACAATCATTAGAGAACTTCTTCACCATTGTATTTGTTCACTCTTTAACATTTGTACTTGACCTCCCACCTCTTACAGCAAATTCATATAAGTTTAAATAATTTAAAATTGAATAATAAATAGCAGCAAAATTATTTGAAGGATTTGCCTGTACTCGGTGTCTAATTCCTCTCCTCCAATTACTTGTTAAGTGTCTTAAATTCAGCGATGTATATGCTCTTGCCAGTCCACCAAAATCATATTTGTCAAGGTTGTCAATTACCTTTACATTATTCAAACCAATGGTCAATTCTCAGCCAATTTTACTTGACTTGTCATCAGCATTTAGGGCAGTTGATCATTCCCTTCTAATTCAAACACATTTTTTCCCCTTTCACTTTGCTTCCAAGACACTATGCTTTCTTGATTTTCTTCCCATTACACTGGCCATTTCTCAGCAGCCTTGGCTAATACCTCCCCTTTTCTCCAGTCTCTTAATTTCAGGATGATATTCCAGGGCTCCAATCTTGCTCCTCTTTCTTATCTACCCTCACTCCCTTGGTGCTCCATACAGTCTCTTTACTTTAAACATCATGCACATGTCAAGGACTCTGAAGCTTATATTTCCAGTGTGAGCCTCTCTCTTAGACTTGAGACTCCTGTGGCCACCTTTCCATGTCTCCGTTAAGATATCCAAGACAAACCTCAAACCTAACATGTACTCCCCATCTTCTCTCACCCTAATCTCCTGCTGCATCCCAATCTCCTCATCTCAGTTAGCCCTCTTTAGGCCGAAGTCCTTGCAGCCCTCTTTGATTATTTCCTTTCTCTCATATCCCATATCCACGCTATTATTCAAACATGTCCTGCAAATTTCCACATCAGAGTAATGACTCTTCTGGTTCACTCTGCTTAGAAAGCATAGAAGTGCTCCTCTACTGCAAAACGTCACCTTCTTAGTGATCTCCCCCTTATAAACTGAATGGCATCCCTTCTAACACTCACTATATCCTTCTCTGCTCTACTTTTCTCTCCATTTATTTATCAAGCATGTATAAAGAATACATTCTTATAAATGAGATTACAGTGTTAACTCATTTAAGTTTCATAACAATGCTATGAGATTATTGTCACCCCTACTCTACAGAGAAGACAATAAAGGCACAGAGAGGTTAAAATCTGCCCAAGGTCACGCAGTTGGCAGGAGACAGAGCTGACATTAAATCAAAGAGTCTGGCTCCAGAGTCTACACCCAGCTGCTATACCAGCCTATCTTTCCAAAGTACTTCTGGTCTCTGGCATTATATTTATATATTCTATATATAATATAGATATAGGCCGGGCACAGTGGCTCATGCCTGTAATCCCAACACTTTGGGAGGTCAAGGTGGGTGGATCACCTGAGGTCAGGAATTTGAGACCAGACTGGCCAACATGGTGAAATCCTGTCTCTATTAAAAATACAAAAATTAGCCAGGCGTGGTGGCGGGTGCCTGTAATCCCAGCTACTTGAGAGGCTAAGGCAGGAGAATCACTTGAACCTGGGAGGCGGAGCTTGCAGTAAGCTGAGATTGCACCACTGCACTCCAGCCTGGGCAACAAGAGCGAGCCTCCGTCTCAAAAAATAAATAATAATATACATATATATGTGTGTGTGTGTGTGTGTGTGTGTGTGTGTGTGTATGTGTATATATATATAACTATTATACATTATATAACCATTACATATACAATTAGATGGCTCTCTGCTGGTGTAGTTACCCATTCATTCATGGAAGAGATATTTACTAAGCTGACACTAGGTACTAGATGCTGTTCTGAGTTCTAGAAGTACAGCAGTGACAAAAACATTAAAACATTCCTGCCCTAATGGAGCTAACATTCTACAGGAGGGAGAGAGACAATGAACAAATGAATGGAGATATATATATATATATAAAAATATTTTTATAAATGTACATATTATATAAATTACATTTTATATAATATATAAAATATATAAATATAAAACTATAAAATATATTTTTATAAAATATAAATAGGCATTATATCTATAACATACATATACATATTAATATATATGAATATAAAATTACATAACATTTATTTTTATAAAATAAATTTATATTTTATGTTTATATTTATCTCTCTCTTCCTCTAGAATATTCTATTAGGGCAGGAATCCTTTAATGTTTTTGTCAACGCTTTATTTCCAGAACCCAGAACAGCCTCTAGTATCTACTGTCAGCTGAATAAATATTTCTTTTATGAATAAATGGGTGATTACACTAGCAGAGAGCAATGTAATTCCAAAGCGAACAGAACATTCACTCAGGAGACCTATGTAGCACAGGGCATTCTGAGAAAATGGGCTGCCATTAGAGTTTTCTAATTGACTTTATTATTAAAACTCTTTTAAAAAAATTGGGAACAACGTGCATGTCAGTAAGTGGCCAATATATCATGTATTCAATCTAATGGTTGCTGAAGGTTTTAGCAAAAGTGTAAGTTTCAGTTCCCTAGGAGTAGGACATCAGAGTTAGAAATCAGATGAGAGGCTGGATGGGAATAGGAAAAGGTAGGAGAATCCTTAACGGAAATAAGGGTAGTTAGTGGCAAGCCTGATGAGTCAGATTGTTTGGCACTGCCAGTGAGAAGCAGAGTGACTTCTCAAACCAATCATTCACCCTCTCCAATTCTTACTTTCTTTGTCTGAAACATGAATGTAATAGTACCTATCACATAGATTTGAAGAAAGTGTTAATTTAGTGGATGGGATAAAGCTATCAGAACAGTACCTGGGAAGTCACAAATACTCAACAAATCAGAGCAATTAATATTCATCACACACCTGGTACTCCAGTGAGGTAGATACTATTATCCCCTTTCTTCAAGTGAGAGAACTGAACCTCAGAGAACTCAGGTAATTTGCTCACTTGACCTGTGAGTGACAGAGCTGGAATTCACATCTCAGTTGACCCAACTCCTCATCTACCATATTACACACTTGTCCCTTGGTGTACATTCTGGAATAGAATCTTAACAATATTAATAATGCAATCTCTCATGTGTTTGGAAATTACATGTGCTAAGGCTTGTTCTGAAGGCTTTACATGTATTACCTCATTTAAACTTCACAGCAACTTCACAGTGAAGTAGACCCTAACATCACCCCACTTTTACAAATGGGGAAACATAGGCACAGAGACAGCAACGCACGGCCAAAGTTACATAGCTAACATGGGGCAAAGTCGGGGTGGAACACAGGCAGTGTATCGCCAAACCCTCACCCCATAGCCCAAGGAACTACCGGAAGGTAACTCCTCGATAAAGAATAATGATTCCAACTTCAAGTTTTCCTGCTCCTAAAGTTTAGCAATAACTAAACCTTGATTTTCCCATTTTTGAATCCAATTGTCAATATAGACTCAACTCCATAATTAGCAGTAATAATAGTAATAACATCTTGTCCTGTGCTGAAAAATCTGACACTGACTAAAGCAGCAAATCTAAATAATTGATATTAATTACATGAGGTTTTTAGGAATAATCTGCCTGAAACAACTCTGCAATGAGAGGATTAAAAGGCAGAGATAATTCTCAGTGGCTGCTGGAAAGGCATTCTGCAGAGGCATGGCTGACACCAGCCTGTCAGCTCTGAGGTGAAGCATGCCTTGTCTTCAATTGCTTAGCTTTTTACATTTTGTAACTCAGATAGTCAGACCATTCCTTCGTCAGTTTATGACATATTTAGCCCCCAGGTCCCCCTTCATATTTCTAAACTATGGTCCCTTCATAACCTAAATATTTCTGCTTTATCCTCCTGTAGCTGACATTAGTTTTATAATTACAGAAATATGGACCATAAGTTCCTCATAGAATTAGCTTCCTAGGGCTACTTTTGAAAAGCACTACAGACTGGGTGGCTTAAAACAACATAAATTTATTTTCTTACCATTTTGGAGGCCTCTCACAACTCCTGGTCTTTTGTTTTGGTTTGGTTCTTCCCTGAGGCCCTTTTCCTTGGCTGGTAGATGGCTGTCTTCTTTGGATGTCTTAACAGGGTCTTCCTTTCCTAACCTCCTCCCTCTTATAAAGACACCAGGATTGGAGCCCACCTCATGAGTTAAACTAATGACCTCAGTTTAACTTGGTTATCTTTTTAAAGACTCTATCTCCAAATATAACCACTTGATGAGGCACTGGAGGTTAGGACTTCAGCATAGAAATATGGAGTAGATACACAGTTTGGCCTGTAACACTGGTAGATTTTATTGTCCTGGAACAAATTTTGTCCTGTCACCTCCACTTTAGCATCCCTTCTCCCATTCAGGGAAGCCTTTAGTAAGGCAGTGGGAACATTTGACCTATCATTCAGCCATCCTAATTTCTGTTCCCACAAAGGTTGAAGCATTAGGCCACAGATCTCCCCATCCATTTTCTGCAATATAATTTTTAGGAAGAAAGAGAAAAGAACTCACATTAACTGAGAACCTATTAAGCCTAGGAGCAGTGCAAGATTTTATCTATGAATATTATAGTTCATTTAAACTCTCAACAACCTTAGGAAATGGGTATTATCTCAGTTTTAGAGACAAAAAGAACAGCCTCAGAGAATTTAATAACCTGGTAAAAAAAATTCCCATAATTAATGATGACAGAACTAAGAGGTTTGGATTCAAGAAAAAAAAAAAGAAAGAAAGAAAAGGAAAGAGGGAAGGGAAGGGGAAGGAGAGAAAGAGAAAGAAAGAAAGAGAAAGAAAAAGAGAAAGCGACAGAAAGAGAGAGAAAAAGAAAAGAAAAGAAAAGAAAAGTGAGCAATGTGAGGGTTGAGGGTATAGGAGTAAGGGGGTGAGAGAGTGACTGAATTATGTTAAAAACCTATGGGACAACAGATCACAGCAGAAAAGTTTAAATTCCCATTTATCCCTAAATGAGCCATTTTATAGCACAATAAAAGATAGCAGCATGTGATACAATCTAATACCACCCGTTTGTTTAATCATGATATCTTTACAGCACCCCCAGACACCCATCGTGTGGGTCCCAAGACACTTCACAAGTCGAATTGCAGGCCTTACTTTCACCTCACACTTCCATGCAGCCATCTGTGAGGAGAGATGAGCTCCCAATTCCCTGGGTCCGAGATGCAGTACTTACATGCCTGCATTGCAGCATTAACACTTTGAACCAATTAATTATGCTTAAAGATAAAGAGAGAGCCATAAGAACCCACTAGGAAGAAGGAACTGGCAGGAGTAGAATAGCAATCATCAAGCATTCCTGTGGTACAAAAGGGATTGGGGGAAGTTCTATATCTGAGATCATCACTCTGCTAGCCTTCGGCAGATACAATTGGCAGAAGGCAGCTCATTGTGTTTGCCAGCAGGCATGAGAATTATGGAAAAGGTCATTGTTAGGGATTTCAATAAGTAAGCTGATTCTGGGATTCTCTGGGTATAGAAGCATCCCTGGTAAGAAAATACTGACCTAGCTGGTCCCCAGGTTTTTTGCTAATTTCAGGACAACTAGTCCTCTACATCCCAATGGATCCAATTTTTTCAAAAGCCTCTGCATTTTACCTGCTTGGCAGAGATGGTAATGTGGATAGAAGATAGGTACCTGAGTATGAATGATAGATTAATGGACAGTTTTAGCAATTTCTAAGAGCAAAGGTTAGTTAAATATCCTTTCCTAACATTAAGTTGAGCTCATATTAAGGGTCAACATTAAAAGGCCCCACAGGGTTTATAAATAGAACAGATGGGCCAAAGATTATATCATAATAGGAGATAGATGTGGGTCCTGGAGGCAGTCTATAAAGATGGGGTACCCATTCCAGAGAACAGCACCTGTCTGCCAACCCAACTCCCACCCCTACCCCCAAAGAAAGAAAAGAGCTCCACCCTTCTTAAGGATTGAGCCCCAACCAAGACCTTGGTTGCTTTGGCTCTGTTTATTATTTCTTTTTTGAGTGAAGAAAAAAATGACAGAGAATAGCATTTGAAGTCACAATCTCTGAGAACATAAACTGGGACATGTTTTGGCTTGCCCTAACTTTAAAACCATTTTTATATATGAACATAAAAATAGACATTTTTGGAGTCTCCTTCAGATAATTACTTGGTAACCTCCACTTTTGGATTCTGGCGGATCTATTATAATGCTGCTATGAACTTTATTTCATACCACACCAGGGAGGGGGAGAGAGATACTGAGAAGTCGGAGTACTCAGATATTACATGGAATAACAGGGTCATAAAAATCAATGTAAAATTTAATGCAAAAGGGCTGTGGGCACCCAACCATTCAAGTTAGGAGATAAGGCAGATAGAAAGTAGGGTTGAGCTTCCAGAAAGTAGTATAGTATATTTTCCCTAACTCTATTGAAAAGTATACAATAATACTTCCGTTTGCCAATCCAACTGTGAGTTAAACATGTTTTCAGCCATGTTTTGGAACCTATTTCCTATTTGGAGAAAATAACCATCATCATAATAAAGCAAAAATAGCACTTATTGAACTTGTTCTATGTGGTAGGCATTGTGCCAGGCAGTTATATTATCAGTAAATTCTCATAACAATCCTGAATATTTTCACTGTTCCGTTTGCATATATGACAGCTGATAGAGGTAAGATCCTAGCCCATGTCACACATTAGATTCATGGTTATTTGGCTCCAAAAGCCATGATCTTTCCCAACCACATATCCATATCCAACCTTCACATTCAGGGCACTGTTGTGGGCACTTCTATTCACTGATTTAGTGAATCCTATGCAAAAGAATTATGGTTTCCTCTTTAAAATTCTGGACTAAAATTTACAATATTAGCTGTTTTATCAACTTCAGAGGTTTCTGTGAAGTGGCTCACTTCAAGACCTAGGCTCCTCTGCATTTGAGAGTCACAAAGTGATACCAAAATAAAAACAGATCAATTACTTTGAAAAATTGGTGAATTCTTGATTATTTAATGGAGTCTAGAGTAGTAATTGATTGGGCAAACT
The DNA here is from genome assembly GCF_000001405.40 of Homo sapiens. Taxonomy (NCBI): domain Eukaryota; kingdom Metazoa; phylum Chordata; class Mammalia; order Primates; family Hominidae; genus Homo; species Homo sapiens. The sequence goes on from NC_000015.10 coordinate 87,367,107, forward strand.
CCAGAGGTACATCATCTGGCTTTACAGCCGTATTTTACCATTTCCTAGATTAGTCACCTTGAATAAATTTCTTAATTTCCATGCATCACTTTTTTTAATTGCTCTCTTTCTTCAAGAGTACCAACCTGGGTAAGATGGTTGTGAGAATTATATGAGACAATGCATGCTTTAAATAGTCCATGATGCATAGTAGGTTCTCAAAATTTACTATTCTTATTATCATTATTATCATTACTTCTCTTCTACCCTAACTCTCCAATTCATTAGATACTTGAAAGATATAACTAGGTGAGCTAAATAGAGGCTGGCTGTGTAACATATGGCTCTGGGACACAGGCAGCCCTAGAGAGACTTGGTTTGACTGCGGTACTATGTAACAGAGTTTTGTCACCAGTAGTTTCCTAGACTCTCAAAACTTTCCATGTTAAAAAGTAGAAACAGAACACATTGCATTTACAGTCAAGTGATTTTTGACAAGGGTAGCAAGAAGATTCATTGAGAGACAGAGTCATCTTTTCAACAAACGGTAACTAGAACAACACCACAGACAAAAATTAATTCAAAATGGATCATAGACATATCATAGACATAAGAGCTAAAACTATAAAGCTGTTGGAAGAAAATGTATGAGCAGACCCTGCAAGATGGTTGACTAGATGCAGCCAGGAGGAGCTTCTCCCACCGAGAAAGACCAGACCATCAAGTAGATTGTCACACTGTAAGCAGATCTACAGAAAGAATGCATTGTGAGTGGACAGAGGGAGGATACCAACCTCAGTTTGAAAGGAAAGGAAACTAGGAATCATGCACAGGGTTGCTGAGCACCAGGACTTGTTCCTGGCCTCAAGAGGCTCCTAGGGAAAGATGAGAAACATAGGCAGAGAGTAGCCTACTGTTGCCATGGATCTCAAGGATTCTAGCTGTGAGAAACCTCACAATCCCCATGGACATCTGAGTTGACAAGGGGGAACTGCCTGGAAAGTTGGCATAAACAGAACTCCAGCTTGCATGGAGGCCAGAATGTTTGGCACAAGAATGGCTGCAGTGGAGTTCAGCCATGTGTGCCCATCCCCCAAGGCTTGCCATACTTCTCTAGGAGGCTTCAGCCTTGGTTAACTGTGGTGCCCGGGCTAAGCAGGGCTGTCTTGCCTGTGGGATGGGGCTAATCTTGTCTTAGAACTCCCCTGTCTGCTGGGCTCTGGCAATATCTGCTTATAGTACAGCCTCAGCTTGGTAGTAACCACTACCATGGTTTTTTCACTTGCAGACCCTGCCTATCTGTCAGAGTAATGTAGGAAGAACCCTACCAGTGTGCAGCCTAGTCACAGCCTTCTCTGCTGGAGTGCCTCTGTCCACAGCCTCCCCTTGCTACCCTGCCATGGTGCACATACTTGGGACCCTGCCACTACCCACTGGCATGCACAAGTGTGGACTTGCCTCCACCCTACCAGAACGTGCACGAGGACCCCCACCATCCAGCCAGCATGCATGCACACTTGGACCCACCAACACCACACCAGAGTGCTTTTTCTGGCAGCCCCAGTTGCAGTGTTGTTGCCAGTGGACTGGAAACACCTGGAGCCCTCCAGCACAGCTGGTGCTTAATCTTGAGGAGCCAGAGAACAAAGCTGCAGGCCTGGTTTCATCCCCTCAGGGTTAGAACACACAGTCCAGGAGTGCTAAGCTGAGTCTTGGCCTCCTGCAAGTATCCAGAAATGAAGCCAACTGACTAAACCTTCAAGGACATCAAATAATATAAAAGTGAAAAGCCCCATCCAAAAGACAGCAACTTAAAAGATTCAAGAAGCATCAGTCCACAAAGATGAGATGAGAAATAACAAGTACAAGAACCCTGGCAACTCTAAAAGCCAGAGTATCTTCTTACCTCCAAAAGAATATATTAGCTTTCCATCAATGGTTGTTAGCCATACTGAAATGGTTGAAATAAAAGATACAGAATTCCGAATGTGGATGGCAAGGAAGCTCACTGAAATACAGGAGAAGGTTGAAACACAATCAAAGAAAAACAGTGAAATGGTCACAGAGCTGAAAAGCAACATATTCATTTTATGGAAAAACAAAGCTGAACTTCTGGAAATGAAAAATTCACTATAGGAATTTCAGAATGCAACTAGAAGCATTAATAACAGAATAGACTAAGCTGAGGAAAGAATCTCAGAAGTCAAAGGCCACTACTTCAAATCAATGCAGGCAGAAAAAAATAAAAAAGAACTTTAAAAAACAGACAAAACCTCTGAGAAATGTGAGATTACATAGAGACCACACCTATGACTCACTGGCATTCCTGGAAGTGTAGGAGACTGAGTAAGCAACTTGGATAACATATTTGAGGATATTGTCCACAAAAATTCAGAGAGCCCCTGTGAGATACTACAAAAGATTACCATCCCTAAGACACATAGTCATCAGATTCTTCAAAGTCAATTTGAAAGAAAAAAATCTTAAATGCAGCTAAAGAGAAGAGGCAGGTCAATACAAAAGGAACCCCATCAGGCTAACAATAGACCTTTCAGCAGAAATCTTACAAGTTGGAAGGGATTGAGGGCCTACATTAAGCATCCTTAAAGAAAAGAAATTCCAACCAAGAATTCCACATTTAGCTAAACTAAGCTTCATAAGTGAAGGAGAAATAAAAACCTTTTCAGATGAGCAAATGCTAAGGGAATTCACTACCATCAGACTTGCCTTACAAGGGGTCCTTAATGGAGTGCTAAACACGGAAATGAAAGATGATTACCTGCCACCACAAAAACACAGTTAAGTATACAGCTCTGTGACTTTATAAAGCAACTATACAATCAAGTCTACATAAAAATCAGTTAACAACACAATGATAGGATCAAACCCTTACAAATCAATAATAACTTTGAATGTAAACAGGCTAAATGCCCCACTTAAAAGACATAGAGTGGGAAGTTGGATAAAGAAGCAAGACCAAACTGTATGCTGTCTTCAAGAGACATATGTCACATGCAATGACACCCACCAGCTCAGAGTAAAGGAATGGAGAAAGATCTATCAAACAAATGGAAAACAAAAGAGAATAGGAGTTGCTATTCTTATTTCAGACAAAATAGACTTTAAACCAAGAATCATCAGGAAGGACAAGGAAGGGCATTACATAATGATAAAGGTTTCAATTCAGAAAGAAGATTTACCTATCCTAAATATGTATGCACCCAAGACTGGAGTATAAAGATTCATAAAACAAGGCTTTAGAGACCTATGAAGAGACTTAGATAACCATACAATAATAGTGGGTGACCTCACATCCCACTAACAATGTTAGATCATGAGACAGAAAACTAACAAAGATATTCAGGACCAAAACTTGACACTTGACCAAATGAACCTAAGAGATATCTACAGAATAATCCACCCAGCAACAACAGAATACATATTATTCTCATCTGCACATGGCACATACTCTAAGATCAACCACATGCTTGGTGGAAAAGCAATTCTTAACTAATTTAAAAGAAATGAAATCATACCAACAACATTCTCAGACCACAGGACAATAAAAATGTATAGCAATAGCAGATAAACAACTCAAAACCATATAATTGCATGGGAATTAAACAACCTGCTTCTGAATGACTTTTGGGTTAAAAAAATGAAATTAAGGCAGAAATAAAAAAAAAATTGAAACTAATTAAAACAAAGATACAACTTTCCAGAATCCCTGAGACACAGCTAAAGCAGTATTAAGAGGAAAGGATTTTTTGTATAATTTTTTTAAAAACTTCAATAGTTCTGGGGGTACAGGTGGATTTTGGTTACATGGATGAGTTTTTTAGTAGTGAATTCTGAGATTTTTAGTGCATCCATCACCTGAGCAGTGTATACTGTATTTAATATATTTTCTTTTATTCCTCACTCTCCTCCCAACCTTCCTCCTCCAAGTCCCCATAGTCCATTATATCACCCTGCACGTTTTTGCATCCTCACAGCTTAGCTCCCACTTATAAATGAGCATATATGTTATTTGGTTTTCCATTACTGAGTTACTTCACTTAGAATAATGGCCTCCGGTTCCATCCAAGTTGCTGCAATAAACATTATTTTGTTTCTTTTTATGGCTGAATAGTAGTCCACGGTGTAAAATAACACATTTTCTTTAACCACTTGTTGGTCAGTGGGCACTTAGGTTGGTTCTATATTCTTGCAATTGTGAATTGTGCTGCTATAAGCGTGCATATACATATGTATTTTTCATATAATGACTTCTTTTCCTTTGGGTAGATACCCAGTAGTGGAGTGAATGGTAGATCTACTTTTAGTTATTTAAGTAATCTCCATACTGTTTTCTATACTGATTATACTAATTTACATTCCCGCCAGCATTGTAAAAGTGTTCTCTTTTTACCACATCCATGCCAACATCTATTGTTTTTTGACTCTTTTATTATTACCATTCTTGCAGGAGTAAGGTGATATCTCATTGTGGTTTTAATTTGCATTTCCCTGATGATTCGTGATGTTGAGCATTTATTCATGTTTGTTGGCTGTTTGTATATCTTTCTTTTGAGAAATGTCTATTCATGTCCTTTGCTCACTTTTTGATGGGATTATTGTTTTTTTTTTTTTCTTGCTGATTTGAGTTCCTTGTAGATTCTGGATACTAGCCCTTTGTCAGATGCATAGTTTGTAAATATTTTTCTCCCACAGACTGTGGGTTGTCTGTTTACTCTGCTGATTATTTCTTTTGCTGTGCAGAAGCTTTTTAGTTTAATTAGGTTCCATTTATTTATTTTTTTGTGTCATTTGCTTTTGGGGTCTTATTCATAAATTCTTTACTTAAGCCAATGTCTAGAAGAGTTTTTCCAATGTTGTCTTCTATAATTTTTATGATTTCAGGTCTTAGATTTAAGTCTTTGATCCATCTTGAGTTGACTTTTATATAAGGTGAGAGATGAGGATCCAGTTTCATTCTTATACATGTGGCTTGCCAGTTTTCCCAGCCAATTTATTGAATAGGGAGTTCATTCTCCAATTTACATTTTTGCATACTTTGTCAAAGATCAGCTGGCTGTAAGTATTTGGCTTTATTTATGAGTTCTCTATTTTGTTACATTTGGTCTAAGTGCCTATTTTTATACCAGTACCATGATGTTTTGGTAACTATAGCCTTGTAGTATAATTTGAGGTCCAATAATGTGATGTCTCCAGATTAGTTATTTTTGCTTACTATTGCTCTGTCTATGTGGGCTCTTTTTTGGTTCCATATAAATTTCAGGGATTTTTCCTAGCTCTGTGAAAAATGATAGTATTTTGCTGGGAATTACATTGAATTTGTAGATTGATTTGGGCAGTATGGTCATTTTCACAATATTGATTCTTCCTATCCATGAGAATGGGATGTGTTTCCATTTGTAGTTTTTATTGTAGAGATCTTTTACCTCCTTGGTTAAGTATATTCTCAGGTATTTTATTTTTTATTTTTGCAGCCATTGTAAAAGGGATTGAGTTCTTGATTTGATTCCCATATTTGTTGTTGTTGGTGTACACAGCAGTGCTACCGATTTTTCTACATTGATTTTGTAACCTAAAACTTTACTGAATTCATTGATCAGATCTAGTAGCCTTTTGGATGAGTCTTTAGGGTTTTCTAGGTGCATGATCATATCATCAGCAAATAGCAACAGTTTGACTTCTTTTTTTCCAATTTGGATGCCCTTTATTTATTTGTTTTTCCTGATTGCTCTGCCTAGAAGTTCTAGTACTATGCCAAATAGAAGTGGTAAAAGTGGGCATCCTTATCTTCTTCCAGTTTTCAGGGAGAATGATTTTAACTTTTTCCCATTCAGTATTATGTTGGCTGTGGGTTTGTCATATATGGCTCTTATTACTTTGAGGTAAGTTCCTTCTATGCCTACTTTGTTGAGGGCTTTTCACATAAAGGAATGCTATATTTTATCAAATGCTTTTTCTGCATCTATTGAGATGATCATAGGGTTTTTGTTTTTAATTCTGTTTATGTGATGTATCAAAATTATTGACTTATGTATGTTAAACCATCCTTGCATCCCTGGGATAAAACCCACTTGATCATATTGTACTATCTTTTTGATGCACTATTAGATTCAATTATCTAGTATTTTCTTGAAGATCTTTGCATCTATGTTAATCAGTGATATGGATCTATTATTTTCTTTTATGTCCTTTCTTGATTTTGGTATTATGGTGATGCTGGCTTCACAGAATGATTTAGAGAGAAATTCTTCTTTCTCAATCTTTGAGAATACTTTCAGCAGGATTGGTACCAATTTTTTGAATGTCAGGTAGAATTCAGCTGTGAATTCATCTGGTCCTGGACTTTTTTGTTGGCAATTTTTCTTTATTAGTGATTCAGTCTCACTACTTGCTATTGGTCTGTTCAGGGCTTCTATTTCTTCCTGATTTAATCTAGGATGGTTGTATGTTTTCCGAAATGTATCCATTTCCTCTAGATTTTCTAGTTTGTGTGCATAAAGGTGTTCACAGTATCCTTGAATTATCTTTGATGTAGGCATTTAACACTATATAACATTCAAGAGGAAAATTTATAGCACTAAACACTCATTTAAAAAAGTTAAAAAGATCTCAAATTAACAACCTAATGTCATATCTAGAGGAACTAGAAAAATAGGAGTAAACCAACCCCAGAACTAGCAGAAGAAATGAAATAACCAAAATCAGAGCTGAACTGAACCAAACTGAGATGCAGAAATTTATGCAAAAGATCAATAAAACAAAAACATTGGATCTTTGAAAGACTAAATAAGATTGATAGACTGCTGCCTAATTATTAAAGAAAAAAAGAGAGAAGATTCAAATAAACACAATCAGAAATGACAAAGCTGACATTACCATCAACCAACAGAAAAACAAAAAACCTTAGAGATTATTATGAACATCTCTATGCACACAAACTAGAAAACCAAGAAGAAATGGACAAATTCCTGGAAATATAAAACCTCCCAAGATTGAACCAGGAAGAAATTGAAATTTTGAACAGACCAATAACAAGTTCCAAAATTGAAACAGTAATAAAAAACTACTAACCAGAAAAAGCTGTGGTCTAGATGAAATCACAGCCACATTCTACTAGATGTGTAAAGAAGAGCTAGTACTGATTCTACTAAAACTATCCCCATCCCTCCCCACCCCTCAAAAAGGAGAGGCTATTCCCTAAATCATTCTATGAAGCCACCATTATTTCCATACCAAAACCTGACAGATACATAACCAAAAAAAGGAAACTTCAGGCCAATATCCCTGATAAACATAGATAAACATAGATGTAAAAATCCTCAATTAAATAGTAGCAAATTAAATCCAGCAGCACATCAAAAAGCTAATCCACCACGATCAAGTAGGCTTTATTCCTGGGATGCAAAGCTGGTTCAACATATGCAAATCAATAAAGTGATTCATCATGTAAATAGAACCAAAAATGAAAACCACATGGTCATCCCAACAGGCATACAAAAGGCTTTTGATAAAATTCAACATCCCTTCATATTAAAAACTTTTGACAAACTACCTTAAAATCGTAAGAACTATCTATGAAAAACCCACAGCCAACATTATACTGAACGAGCAAAAGCTGGAAGCAATCCCCTTGAGAACCAGAACAAGACTAGGATGCCCAGTCTCACCATTCCTATTCAATATAGTACTGGAAGTCCTAGCCAGAGCCATCAGGCAAAAGAAGGCAATCAAATAGGAAGAGAGGAAGTCAAATTCTCTTTGCAGATGATATGATTCTATACCTAGAAAACCCCGTAGTCTGCCTTTGGGGAGCTCCTTGAACAGATAAACAACTTCAATAAAGTTTTAGTATACAAAATCAATGTACATGAATAAGTACCATTTCTATACACCAATAACATCCAAGTTGACAGCCAAATCAAGCATGCAATTCCATTCATAATAACTAAAAATAGAATAAAATACCTAGGAATATGGCTAACCAAGGAGGTTAAAGGTCTCTACAATGAGAATTACAAAGCACTGCTGAGAGAAATCAGAGATGACACAAACAAATGGAAAAGCATTCTATGCTTATGTATGGGAAGAATCAATATTGTTAAAATGGCCACAGTGGCCAAAGCAATTTACAGATTCAGTGCTATTCTTATCAAGCCACCAATTTCACATTTCATAGAATTAGAAAAGTGTTCTCAAATTAATCTGAAACTAAAAAACAGCCCAAATAGCCAAAATAGTCCTAAGCAAAAAGAACAAAGCTGGAGGCATCACACTACCCAACTTCAAACTATACTACAAGGCTACAGTAACCAAAACAGCAGGATTCTGGTACAAAAACAGACACATAGACCAATGGAACAGGTTAGAGGACCCAGAAATAAAGCTTTACATCTACAACCAACTGATCTTTGAAAAAGTCTACAATAACAAGCAATGGGGAAAGGACTCCCTATTTAATAGACGGTGCTGGGATAACTGGCTGGCCATGCGTAGAACATTGAAACTGGACCCCTTACTTTAACCATATATAAAAATCAACTCAAGGTGCATTAAAGATTTAAATGTAAGACCTGAAACTAAAAACCCTAGAATAAAACCTAGAAAATACCACTCTGTACATAGGCCTGGGCAAAGATTTTATAATGAAGTCTCCAAAAGCAATTGCAGCAAAAACAAAAATAGAGCAGTGGGACCTAATTAAATTAAACAGCTTCTGCACAGCAAAAGAAACTCAACAGAGTAAACAGGCAACCCATAGAATGGAGAAAATATTTGCAAACTATGCATTTGACAAAGATCTAATATCCGGAATCTGAGCTTAAGTTAATAACGAACTTTAGCAAAAGACAAACAATCCCACTGAAAAATGAGCAAAGGACGTGAACAAACACTTCTCTAAAGAAAATATACACATAGCCAACAACAATGTGAAAAAAATCTTCAACATCACTGATCATCAGAGAAATGTAAATCAAAACCAAAGTGAGATACTGTGTTATACTCCTCAGAATGGCTATTTTTAAAATGTCAGAAAATAAAAAACATTGGCAAGGTTGCAGAGAAAATGGAACACTTATAAACTGCTGGTGCGAAAGTAAATTAGTTCAGGCACTGTGGAAAGCAGTCTGTAGATTTCTCAAAGTACTTAAAACAGAACTACAGTTTTACCCAGCAATCCCATTACTGGGCATATATGCAAAGGAAAGTAATTCACTGTACCAAAAAGACACATGCACTCGTATGTTCATCACAACACCATTCACAGTAGCAAAGAAATGGAATTGACCCAGATGCCCATCAATGGTGGACTAGATAAAGGAAATTTGGTACCTATACACCATGATATGCTATGCAGCCACAAAAAAGAATAAAATTGTACCCTTTGCACCAATGTGGATGCAGCTGAAGACCACTATCCTAAGTGAATTAATGTGGGAACAGAAAATCAAGTACCACATCTGCACTTGTCAATGAGAGCTAAATATTGAGTACAGATGCACAGAAAGAAGGCAACAATAGATGCTGGGAACTACTTGAGAGTGCAGCACAGGAGGAGGGTGAGGGTCAAAACCCTACCCATCAAGCATTATGCTCACTACCTGAGTGAAGAAATCATTTGTACACCAAACCCCATTGATCCATGTAACAAACATGCACATGAACCCTCCGAACTTAAAAATTAAAAATAAAAATAAACACATATGAGTACATTTTTGGACCTAGAGTTGGGCAAAGCCTTCTTAGATAGGATGCCAAATGGACAAGTAATGAAAGAAAAAGAAATGAATAAATTTGACTTCATCAGATCCAAAAACTTTTGTTCTTAAAAAGACACTACAAAAAATAAACATACAACCCAGAAAATGAAAGAAAATATGTGCAAATCACATACTGATATCTAGAATATAATTTTAAAATCCATGTAATTTATAATGCAAAGATAAATTATTCAATATAAAAATGGACAAAGGTCATAAATAGATACTTTTCCAAGGAAGATATACAAATGGCCAATAAGCACATGAAAACATACTTAAGAACATTAGCCATCAGGAAAATGTGAATAATAACCACAGTGAAATACCACTTCACACCCATTATAACGACTATAATAAAAAACATATGGAGGGTGGTGCCAAGATGGCCAAATAGGAACAGCTCCAGTGTACAGCTCCCAGCGTGAGCAATGCAGAAGACAGGTGATTTCTGCATTTCCAACTGAGGTACCGGGTTCATCTCACTGGGGAGTGTCAGAGAGTGGGTGTAGGACAGTGGGTACAGCGCACCTAGCATGAGCTGAAGCAGGGCGAGGCATCGCCTCACCTGGGAAGCACAAGGGATCAGGGAATTCCCTTTCCTAGTCAAAGAAAGGGGTGACACATGGCACCTGGAAAATCGGGTCACTCCAACCCTAATACTGTGCTTTTCCAACGGTCTTAGCAAACGGCACACCAGGAGATTATATCCTGTGCATGCCTCTGAGGGTATTATGCCCATGGAGCCTCGCTCATTGCTAGCATAGCAGTCTGAAATCAAACTGCAAGGTGGCAGCGAAGTTGGAGGAGGGGCACCCACCATTGAGGAGGCTTGAGTAGGTAAACAAAGCAGCTGGGAAGCTCAAACTGGGTGGAGCCCACTGCAGCTCAAGGAGGCCTGCCTGCCTCTGTAGACTCCTCCTCTGGAGGCAGAGCATTGCCAAACAAACGGCAGCAGAATCCTCTGCAGACTTAAATGTCCCTGTCTGACAGCTTTGAAGAGAGGAGTGGTTCTCCCAACATGCAGCTGGAGATCTAAGAACAGACAGACTGCCTCCTCAAGTGGGTCCCTGACCCCCGAGTAGCCTAACTGGGAGGCACCCCCCAGTAGGGGCAGACTGACACCTCACATGGCCGCGTACTCCTCTGAGACAAAACTTCCAGAGGAACGATCAGGCAGCAACATTTGCTGTTCACCAATATCTGCTGTTCTGCAGCCTCCGCTGCTAATACCCAGGCAAACAGGGTCTGGAGTGGACCTCCAGCAAACTGCAACAGACCTGCAGCTGAGGGTGCTGACTGTTAGAAGGAAAATGAACAAACAGAAAGGACATCCACACCAAAACCCCATCTGTATGTCACCATCATCAAAGACAAAGGTAGACGAAACCATAAACATGGGGAAAAAACAGAGCAGAAAAACTGGAAACTCTAAAAATCAGAGTGCCTCTCCTCCTCCAAAGGAATGCAGCTCCTCAACAGCAACAGAAAAAACCTGGATGGAGAATGACTTTGAAGAGTTGAGAGAAGAAGGCTTCGGATGATCAAACTACTCCGAGCTAAAGGAGGAAGTTTGAATCCATGGCAAAGAAGTTAAAAACCTTGAAAAAAAATTAGATGAATGGCTAACTAGAATAACCAATGCAGAGAAGTCCTTAAAGGACCTGATGGAGCTGAACACTAAGGCACAAGAACTACGTGACAAATGCACAAGCCTCAGTAGCCGATTCGATCAACTGGAAGAAAGGGTATCAGTGATGGAAGATCAAATGAATGAAATGAAGCAAGAAGAGAAGATTAGAGGAAAAAGAATAAAAAGAAATGAACAAAGCCTCCAAGAAACATGGGACTGTGTGAAAAGACCAAATCTATGTCTGATTGGTGTACATGAAAGTGACGGGGAGAATGGAACCAAGTTGGAAAACACTCTGCAGGACATTATCCAGGAGAACCCCAATCTAGCAAGGCAGGCCAACATTCAGATTCAGGAAATACAGAGAACGCCACAAAGATATTCCTCAAGAAGAGCAACTCCAAGACACAAAATTGTCAGATTCACCAAAGTTGAAATGAAGGAAAAAATGTTAAGGGCAGCCAGAGAGAAAGGTCAGGTTACCCACAAAGGGAAGCCCATCAGACTAACAGCGGATCTCTCGGCAGAAACTCTACATGCCAGAAGAGAGCGGGGGCCAATAATCAACATTCTTAAAGAAAAGAATTTTCTACCCAGAATTTCATATCCAGCCAAACTAAGCTTCATAAGTGAAGGAGAAATAGAATACTTTACAGACAAGCAAATGCTGAGAGATTTTGTCACCACCAGGCCTGCCCTAAAAGAGCTCCTGAAGGAAGCACTAAACATGGAAAGGAACAACCGGTACCAGCCACTGCAAAAACATGCCAAATTGTAAAGACCATCGAGGCTAGGAAGAAACTGCATAAACTAACGTGCAAAATAACCAGCTAACGTCATAATGACAGGCTCAAATTCACACATAACAATATTAACCTTAAATGTAAATGGGCTAAATGCTCCAATTAAAAGACACAGACTGGCAAATTGGATAAAGAGTCAAGACCCATCATTGTGCTGTATTCAGGAAACCCATCTCATGTGCAGAGACACACACAGGCTCAAAATAAAGGGATAGAGGAAGATCTACCAAACAAACACAAAACAAAAAAAGGCAGGGGTTGCAATCCTAGTCTCTGATAAAACAGACTTTAAACCAACAAAGATCAAAAGAGACAAAGAAGGCCATTACATAATGGTAAAGGGATCAATTCAACTAGAGGAGCTAACTATCCTAAATATATTCACCCAATACAGGAGCACCCAGATTCATAAAGCAAGTCCTTAGAGACCTACAAAGAGACTTACACTCCCACGCAATAGTAATGGGAGAATTTAACACCCCACTGTCAACATCAGACAGATCAATGAGACAGAAATTTAACAAGCATATCCAGGAATTGAACTCAGCTCTGCACCAAGCATACCTAATTGATATCTACAGAACTCTCCACCCTAAATCAACAGAATATACATTCTTCTCAGCACCACACCACACCTATTCCAAAATTGACCACATAGTTGGAAGTAAAGCACTCCCCAGCAAATGTAAAAGAACAGAAATTATAACAAACTGTCTCTCAGACCACAGTGCAATCAAACTAGAGCTCAGGATTAAAAACTCACTCAATACCTCTCAACTACATGGAAACTGAACAACCTGCTCCTGAATGACTACTGGGTACACAACGAAATGAAGGCAGAAGTAAAGATGTTCTTTGAAACCAATGAGAACAAAGACACAACATACCAGCATCTCTGGGACACATTCAAAGCAGTGTGTAGAGGGAAATTTATAGCACTAAATGACCACAAGAGAAAGCAGGAAAGATCTAAAATTGACACCCTAACATCACAATTAAAAGAACTAGAGAAGCAAGAGCAAACGCATTCGAAAGCTACTAGAAGGCAAGAAATAACTAAGATCAGAGCAGAACTGAAGGAGATAGAGACACAAAAAACCCTTCAAGAAATCAATGAATCCAGGAGGGGGCTTTTTGAAAAGATCAACAAAATTGATAGACCACTAGCAAGACTAATAAAGAAGAAAAGAGAGAAGAATCAAATAGACGCAACAGAAAATGATAAAGGGGATATCACCACCGATCCCACAGAAATACAAACTACCGTAAGAGAATACTATAAACACTTCTATGCAAATAAACTGGAAAATATAGAAGAAATGGATAAATTCCTCAACACATACACCCTCCCAAGACTAAACCAGGAAGAAGTTGAATCTCTGAATAGACCAATAACAGGCTCTGAAATTGAGGCAATAATTAATAGCTTACCAACCAAAAAAAGTCCAGGACCAGATGGATTCACATCCAAATTCTACCAGAGGTACAAGGAGGAGCTGGTACCATTCCTTCTGAAACTATTCCAATCAATAGAAAAAGAGGGAATCCTCCCTAACTCATTTAGTGAGGCCAGCTTCATCCTGATACCAAAGCCTGGCAGAGACACAACAAAAAAAGAGAATTTTAGACCAATAGCACTGATGAACACTGATGCAAAAATCCTCAATAAAATACTGGCAAACCGAATCCAGCAGCACATCAAAAAGCTTATCCACCATGATCAAGTGGGCTTCATCCCTGGGATGCCAGGCTCGTTAACAACTGCAAATCAGTAAACGTAATCCAGCATATAAACAGAACCAAAGAGAAAAACCACAGGATTATCTCAATAGATGTAGAAAAGGCCTTTGACAAAATTCAACAGCCCTTCATGCTAAAAACTCTCTATAAATTAGGTACTGATGGGACGTATCTCAAAATAATAAGAGCTATCTATGACAAACCCACAGCCAATATCATACTGAATGGGCAAAAACTGGAAGCATTCCCTTTGAAAACTGGCACAAGACAGGGTTGCCCTCTCTCACCACTCCTATTCAACATAGTGTTGGAAGTTCTGGCCAGGGCAATCAGGCAGAAGAAGGAAATAAAGGGTATTCAATTAGGAAGAGGAAGTCAAATTGTCCCTGTTTGCAGATGACATGATTGTATATCTAGAAAACCCCATCATCTCAGCCCAAAATCTCCTTAAGCTGATAGGCAACTTCAGTGAATTCTCAGGACACAAAATCAATGTACAAAAATCACAAGCATTCTTATACACCAATAACAGACAAACAGAGAGCCAAATCGTGAGTGAACTCCCATTCACAATTGCTTCAAAGAGAATAAAATGCCTAGGAATCCAACTTACAAGGGACGTGAAGGACCTCTTCAAGGAGAACTACAAACCACTGCTCAATGAAATCAAAGAGGATATAAACAAATGGAAGAACATTCCATGCTCATGGGTAGGAAGAATCAACATCGTGAAAATGGCCATACTGCCCAAGGTAATTTATAGATTCAATGCCATCCCCATCATGCTACCAATGACTTTCTTCACAGAATTGGAAAAAACTACTTTAAAGTTCATATGGAACCAAAAAAGAGCCCACATTGCCAAGTCAATCCTAAGCCAAAAGAACAAAGCTGGAGGCATCTCACTACCTGACTTCAAACTATACTACAAGGCTACAGTAACCAAAACAGCATGGTACTGGTACCAAAACAGAGATATAGACCAATGGAACAGAACAGAGCCCTCAGAAATAATGCCACATATCTACAACCATCTGATCTTTGACAAACCTGACAAAAACAAGAAACGGGGAAACTATTTAATAAATGGTGCTATTCCCTATTTAAAATGGTGCTGGGAAAACTGGCTAGCCATATGTAGAAAGCTGAAACTGGATCCCTTCCTTACACCTTATACAAAAATTAATTCAAGATGGATTAAAGACTTAAATGTTAGACCTAAAACCATTAAAACCCTAGAAGAAAACCCGGGTGATACCATTCAGGACATGGGCAAGGACTTCAAGTCTAAAACACCAAAAGCAATGGCAACAAAAGCCAAAATTGACAAATGAGATCTAATTAAACTAAAGAGATTCTGCACAGCAAAAGAAACTACCATCAGAGTGAACAGGCAACCTACAGAATGGGAGAAAATTTTTGCAATCTATTCATCTGACAAAGGGCTAATATCCAGAATCTACAATGAACTCAAACAAATTTACAAGAAAAAAACAAACAATCCCATCAAAAGGTGGGTGAAGGATATGAACAGACACTTCTCAAAAGAAGACATTTTTGCAGCCAAAGGACACATGAAAAAATGCTCATCATCACTGACCATCAGAGAAATGCAAATCAAAACCACAATGAGATACCATCTCACACCAGTTAGAATGGCGATCATTAAAAAGTCAGGAAACAACAGGTGCTGGAGAGGATATGGAGAAATAGGAACACTTTTACACTGTTGGTGGGACTGTAAACTAGTTCAACCATTGTGGAAGTCAGTGTGGTGATTCCTCAGGGATTTAGAAACTAGAAATATCATTTGACCCAGCCATCCCATTACTGGGTATTTACCCAAAGGATTATAAATCATGCTGCTATAAAGACACATGCACACATATGTTTATTGCGGCACTATTCACAATAGCAAAGACTTGGAACCAACACAAATTTCCAACACTGATAGACTGAATTAAGAAAATGTGGCACATATACACCATGGAATACTATGCAGCCATAAAAAATGATGAGTTCATGTCCTTTGTAGGGACATGGATGAAGCTGGAAACCATCATTCTCAGCAAACTATCGCAAGGACAAAAATCCTTCGCAAGGACAAAAACCAAACACCGCATGTTCTCACTCATAGGTGGGAATTGAACAATGAGAACACATGGACACAGGAAGGGGAACACCACACACTGGGGCCTGTTGTGGGGTGGGGGGAGGGGGAGGGATAGCATTAGGAGATATACCTACTGTTAAATGACGAGTTACTGGGTGCAGCACACCAACATGGCACATGTATACATATGTAACTAACCTGCATTTTGTGCACATGTACCCTAAAACTTAAAGTATAGTAATAAAAAATATATATATAATAACGTGTTGGTGAGGGTGTGGAGAAAGTGAAGCCTTCATGCAATGCTGATGGGAATGCAAAATGGTGTATCTACTTTGGAAACAGCCTGCCAGTTCCTCAAATGCTAGGAGTCATCATATGACCCCAAAATTCCACTTCTAAGTATATGCTCAAAAAAAATGAAAAGACATGCACACACCAAAATTTGCACATAAATTTTTATAGCAATATTAATCGCAATAGTCAAAAAGGGAAAACAATCTATTAATCAATTGATGAGTGAATAAGTAAATGTTACATAGCAATGCAATGCGTATTATTTGGCCAGAAAAAAAGTGAAGTACTGATACATGCTACAACACAGGTGAACTTTGAAAACATCCTAAGTGAAAGAGGTGAGTCTCAGAAGACCTCATATTGTATGATTCTATTTGTATGAAATATCCAGACTAGACAAATCTAAAGAGATAGAGATATTGGATTAGTGGTTGCCTAGGGCTATAGGCATCAGGAGCAAGTAACTGCTAATTGGTATGAGGTTTCTTTTGGAAGTGATAAAAATTTCTAAAATTAATTATGGTGATATTTACACAACTCTGTAAATATTTTAAAAACATATTGAATTGTCAAAAGAATAAATAAATTGAAGATTGTGTCTTAAAAAAAATAACAGAACCAATGATACAGACCAAGTTACCTCATTATGAATGAGAGTCACAATATACTAGTGGGATATTGGTAAAGATGAAGGAAAAAATAACCTCAAAATTAATAACCTGAAAAATATGTGTGGTTTAGCTCATTTCAAATTATAAATCAATATAGTCCTTAAATCTTTATAGAGAAATAAATCCTGCCTGAGTCCTTCTCTTCTGCATGGTATTATGTGGCAATGTCTATGGATAAAATAAATGCATTGTCACATAATGTTCACACCTATGTTCACAATTTATCCATACATCCATACAATGTAACACAATCTTCACAGTTTATCCATACAAAAATAATAATATAATTACAGATGCAAGGCAATCGAGTTACTGTCATCCCAAAACCCTGAAATAAATCCTTGACATAAGTTCCAGACCCAAAAGACAGCCAAGTTCTGTGACTTCTTCATCAGTAATTTTTTTTTTTTTTTGAGATGGAGTCTTGCTCTGTTGCCCAGGCTAGAGTGCAGTGGTGCAATCTTGGCTCACTGCCAGCTCTGCCTCACGCCATTCTCCTGCCTCAGCCTCCCGAGTAGCTGGGACTACAGGCGCCCACCACCATGCCCAGCTAATTTTTTGTATTTTTAGTAGAGACGGGGTTTCACCGTGTTAGCCAGGATGATCTCGATCTCCTGACCTCGTGATCCGCCCGCCTCGGCCTCCCAAAGTGCTGGGATTACAGTCGTGAGCCACCGTGCCCGGCCCATCAGTAATATTTCTTACATCTGCTTATTCTTACCACTATCAGCATCTCATTACCTCATACCCGCATTGTTGCCATTGCTGCCCAAATAATCCTGCTTTATGTAATTTTCTTCTTTCCAATCTATTCAATATACTGCTGTCAAATAATCTTAAAAGTTGGCCTATATCATTAATTCAACTGCCCAGAAATATTTACACTGTCACTGCCTCTAGGAAAATAAGCTTAAGTTGCTTATTTGGGTATTCAAGGATATCCTTTTTTACATACCAAATTATTTCCCCAAAATTACCTTCTAATTTTCCTTCGTAAATACTCTCTTCTAATGAGACCATTCCTAAATAAAAAAATCTGATAGTGTTTACCTTTGAATCATGCCTTTTCCTCAGCATATCCAAATTCTACCAATCTTTAAAAGTTTTGCTGCATGGTTGTCACTGAATGCTGTCAATTTGTATATTGGATAAAACTTAACATTTACCAAGAAACATTCCCTTGACTATACGATGATTTCTGGCTTATCACTTTTTTTTGCCATCCACTGCAGATACATCATATCCTGCTTTGTCTACCCAAATGGATTTTAGGCATTTCACTAATATCAGTAATTTAGGCTTTTTGGAAAAGTTTCTATGGATATAGTCAGTGCTCAATAAAAGCAGTTTATAAATAAATCAAGAGTCGTACCACCAACAGAACCAACTCGTAGAGTTGAAGAAGAACAAAATTTGTTGGGGGAAGACCTTATAAATCATCTAGCCTAATCACTTTGTTGTATAATTGGGTAAAATAAGGCCCACATATAGAAAAAGACAGGCATAAGGTCCAACATTTGTTTGATAGCAGAGCCAAGACTAGACTGTGGTTTGTTATTCCCACCTGTCGGAAATCCTACCCTCAACCTAGAACATGTTGCCTAAATCTCAGTGCTCCCTTTAGTATGATATCATCTTAGAAATGAACTAAATTTCCCCAGTTGGTTCACAGGTGGGCATATGGTTATAGAAAAGGGGCAGCCCGTCCCTTGTCCTGAAGTCTGGAGAAAAGGTTCAGGGGAGTGGGTATATAACCTAGTCTATTGCAGTAGTAGTTATGCAAGACTGAAGCTTGCTCTACAATGACTAAAGCAGGTGTCATCTAGAATACCTCAAAGGCCAAACAACTTTCGCCCAACAGTTTTGATAAATTCTGAATTTGGAGAGTATATGAATCCTGAGCACTATTTCCCATAGATATTATTGCTCCTACCTTTAAATTGTTAAATGTTGAATTATAGATGGCCAAGAAGATCCAGGAGCAAAGGGCCAATCATCTGCTTGAGTAATCCTCTCATACATCTGTCTTGTCTGAGAGCAAAGTGGAGACATTGCAGACAAAGGCACTCTCAGATCCATATCACATCTTTAAATTCAGATACCTCTGGGGAGTTACTCTTCCCTGGAGAGAAAACTAGGCTCAGTGCTTCTCAGAGTATCTTCTGAGTAGGAGAGGAAATAAGTGGTATTTACTATCATGCTCCAAATGAAGGGATGGGAGGACATATTATTTAGAAGGGTAACTATATGAGCCACTGTCTCTTATAATTATTGTTCCTATCCATTACAATGATATTTTAACACGGAATCTGCTGTCATCGAACTGTGAGACCTTGGCATATATCTTAAGCTCTTTGAATCTTGGCTTTACTATTTCAAAAACAAAAACAAAAGGCTTGGGAAACATTAATAATATGTCTCCTTCTCAAACTAAAATTGTCTGCTTTTAATACCTACCATTTGCACAGCACCATAGAGTGTATGAGTTTACAAAAGCCTTTCACAGTATCTCAGGCCATTCTTACTATTTGTGAGCAGGTAGCACAGGTATCATTAGACCCATTTTACAGATAAAAGTATAGAGAAGTGAAGATCATAAACCAATCGATAGCGTCTTAATCCATTTGTGTTTCCATATGGGAATACTTGAAGCCAGGTAATTTATATAGAAAAGAGGTATATTTGGCCCACGGTTCTGCAGGCTGTACAAGAAACATGGCACCAGCATTTCCTTCTTGAGAGGGCCTCAGGAAGCTTCCACTCATGGCAGAAGGTGAAGGAGAGCCAGCATCAGATAGCAAGAGTGGAAAGAAGAGAGAGAGGTGGGAGGGAGGTGCCAAGCTCTTTTTAGCAATCAGTTCTCTAAGGAACTAATAGAGCAAGAACTCATTCATTACTTCAAAACTGGCATCAAGCCGTTCATGAGGGAGCCACCCCCAGGACTCAAGCCCCTCCCAATAGGCTCCACCTCCAACACTGGGCATCAAATTTTGACATGAGATCTGGAGGAGACAAATATCCAAATTATATCAGGTAGTAATCTTCTAGATCAGGAATCAGCAAACTACAGCCCAAAGGCCAAATCTGACTGAGCACCTATTTTTGTAAATAAAATTTTATTGGAACACAGACAGACTTGTTAGTTCATGTATTGTCTTTGGTTGCTTTGATACACACACCAGTAGAGTCGAGCAGGTGCAACAAAAACTGTATGACCTGCAAAGTAAAAAATATTATCTCTTTGACACCTTCCAGAAAAAAGAAATCTGTCAACCTTTGTTCTAGCACATAGGTTTGTGATTTTTCACTGTAACACCTAGCTCCTAGCTCTGCAAGACCACTCTGATTTTTTTCTTGTCATCATTGTATTCAGATCTTTACCCCTGTTCTGTGGCCTCTACGTTCCACGTCCTATTTGGTTAGTCATTTGCAGAATGGAGTGCAAAAATTAAATTCATCAGATTCAGAAATCAGCATATACATTATATGTTTCTATTTTAAATGCAGTAGTGGAAAAATTTAAAAAAAAAACCTTTCATCACACACCTGCATAAGAAAAGAGACATCCTGCGACACAAATATACTGATGTCATTATTATTATTGGGTTGTTGAGCACTAGCAGTGGTAAAACACATAAAGCCACAATCACTAGCCTGAAGCCTTTCAGCTGAAGCAAAGCACACAGCTTAAAAACAGAAGCTAGGACTAGAAAAACCGGTGAAATCTCTGAGGTGTGATTCAGCTCTCAGATGTAAGCATTGAATAAGGATGTTCACTCTGTATCACAAACCTCAGAGTCGCAGAAATATTCAGTGACTGAGTATTATGGGGTTTTCTGATTCAGTGCACACATATGTGTGTGATATTTCAATTGTTACAACTCCATTGCTTTTGTAACTGTTTTTAATTACTCTTGAGACCATTTCTCAGTATGAGCTGAGCATATGGGCACTTTGCATTTTTTAAATCCTACTTTTGGAGTTATCCATGAGCTGAAAAACCCCAGCATTTTTTTTTCAAGTGTAATCAAGGTATTTCAGAATCCTTCACACCAGCAGCAGGAAGGAAGCAGCTTACTGGGTCTTCATTGGTCACTACCATGAGAGCTCTCCCTTGGAGAACTTCGCACACAATGGCGTGTTTCTGGTTACTGGAAGCTATTCAGTCATTTATTTGACAGAGATTAATTAAAGAAATACTGTCAACACAACTCTGGATGAGGAGAATAAAATGAATGAAAGAGGATCCTTGCTTTCATAATATCTTGGCATTATAAGGTAGTCATTGAATTATTCATTCATTTTCCAATTGTTTATTGAGGACCTACTACATGTTGAGCACTATGCCAGACACTTCAAATAGAATGGGATACACACACACACACACACACACACACACACACACGTAAACACATTTACTTCTGCACTTCTTGAGCTTAAATAACTTTGGAATGTATGTAAGACTTGACAAAGCATATAAGCAACAAAGGATTCATACTGAGAACATATAAATGATTCCTATAACTGAATTTTTTTTAAAAAAAAACAGAAATCTCAATAGAAAAATGGGCAAAATATGTGAATAGACTCTTTACGAAAGAGGATATTCAACTTGTCAGCCACCAGAGAATTGCAAATTAAAACTACAATGTGATACCACTAAATGCCCACTTTAGAATGGCTAAAATTAAGAATTCAGAAAATACTAAGTGTGGTTAAGAGTGTGGCACAACTGAAACTCTTTTTACTGCTGTTAGGAGTGTTGATTGGTAAAACCACCTTAGAAAACTGTTTTCCATTACCAACTAAATTAGAACATACCCATGACCTTGTATTTTCTATCCTAGCAAATACATTCCTATGTTCACCAAAACGCACAAAGTAGAATGCTGATAGCAGCACTATTTGTAATAGCTCCAAATTGGAAACTATCCAAATACCCATCAACAATGCAATGGAATAAATTCCGGAATTTTCACCCAATGGAATATTATATAGCAAAGACTAAATTATTAACAACTGTATGTAACAATATAGGTGAATCATATGAACATAAGCTTGAATCAGAAAGACAATAAGCGGAAAAGGATAATGACTGTGTGATTCGATTTATGCAGGGTAAAAACTGATTGGTAGCTTTGGAAATCAAGATGGTGGTTCATTTCGATGTGGGCCTAAAGAAGTTGCAAACAGACGGAGGCATAAGGGGAATCCTAGGTCCTGCTAGAACTCTCTTAGTCCATTGGTGTGCTGGTTACCTGGGCGTATTCACCTTTTGAAAACCTATTGAGCTGTACGCATATGATTTGTTTTATTAAAAGTGCATATGAGGCATTCCACAATCGAGAGTTAAAATAAACTCCAAAGTGAGTTCATGGGAGGGGACTATCCCTTCCCTACAGGAAACGGTCTCCAGTAGTAACACCGGTACTAAGCTGTAAAGAATGGAAATGGTTTTAATCCACAGAAAGGGGATAAGACATTCCATGAGGAGCAAAATGTTCTTTGCAGAAGAGTGGACCTAAGAAAATACGGAGCAATTTGTGAAACATGAGATCTGTGGAAGAAGAATAAATCAAGCTAGAAAGGTAAGCGCTAGCCAGAATGTGGAGAGCCTTGAGAGAGGCCCTTGGCTTTTGTGAAATAGGCATTTGGGAGATATTCAGGGGTTCTAAGCAGGGCAGAGATGATCAGAGCTGTATTCAGGGAAGATTAACTTGGCAGTTGTATTGCAGAGTGAATTAGAAAGTGGAGAAACAGGGGAAAGGGAGACCAATTTGGATGTAATTGCAATTGTCTGAGTGGTATGTAATTAGGCCTAAATTAGGGTGGTAGCATGAGTGGAAAAGAGGAGATGTATGGAAGAGGCATTAGAGGAGACAAAGCAACTTATTGGATTTTTGTTGTTGTTGTTGAGGGAGATGGAAGAGCCCAAGGAAGCCAATCTGGGCGATTGGAAGATAAATCATGCCATTAACTGAAATAGTTAAATTAGGATCTCTTCCTTGAGAGCAAGGGCTGAGCACTGATGAGTTCTTGTTTCTCATATACCAGAGCTGCCCCTGAACATAACAGCTCAGTGCAGCTCAATGTGGGGACTTAGGCCTCTCAGGAAAAATGACATGGTACTTTCCCAGCCATGCATATATAAAATAGATTCTGATTTTCTTATAGAATGGAAGCTGCCCAGCTAAAATATACGTTTTCCAACCTACTTTGTAGATGACCATGGCAATATGAGTGGGTTGTAAGGAAAGGTAAATTGTGTAACTTTAAGCCTGTACCCTTAAAGGGAGATGGAATGTTCTTCTCTTCTTCCCCTCATCCTGCTGGCTGAAATGCAGGTGTGATGGCAACAACTAATGCAGCCCTCAAGGACCATGAATGGAAGCTGCAGGACAAAAGCAAGACAGAGGCAGGCTGGGTCCTTGATGATTGTAGAACAATTCACTAGCCCAGATAGTCTCTTTGGATCTTTATGTGGCAGAGAAATAATATCTTGTTTATGTCACTGATAGTTTGCATCTGTCTCTGTTACTGTAACTAAATTGGTATCTTAAATAATTCAGATCCCAAGCTTGTAGTTTTGATCCCTGAGATATTTTTCCTTATATTAAACTATCATTTTCTGAGCAATTATTAGATACTTGACACTCTACTAGGTGCCAGTGTCAAAAAAATCATTAACGCTGAGCCTACTCCCCTAACACCGATGACCATTCCTGAAAATGTGTGGCAATATCTCAAACATGGCTTAACCATAACAAAAATTGCCATTTATGGGACACTTTCAAAATGTGAGCACTGAGTTTATATAACCAGCCTAAGACCATTATAAACTAGGTCCCATTTTTAGCCTCATTCTACAGATGAGAAAACTGAGCCACCAAAATGTTACAAAACATCCCTCAAGGTGATATTGCTAATGGTCAGAATTTTCTCTCTCCAGTGTCCACTCTTAATGACCTGACAGTACAAATTGCCTCACTGAAACAGCATGAAGATAAATCAGTTTGAATTTATCTCCACCACTGGCAAAAAGAGTCTGAAGCCAAGTCATAGAAAAGATCAAAGATTCCTAGTTCATAGACGCGGGCTTTTGCTCTGACTTCTCATAATGAAAACTGATGGTTCTGAAACCTCTCTCTCTTGCAGCACTAGACACAGAACATGGTTCTTTGCTTTACTGTTAGGGAGGACAAGCTGAGTGAAGCAAGGAGAAAAGGATGGAGAGAAAAGGGAAAGAAGAATCTGAGTGAGGACATCTTCACTTGAAAATCAAAGTTATTTTTTCCTGGGGTTAGCAAACTCATTTAGAAACAACATGAAAAGCAGGACTTTAAGATACTCCTGAAAATACTGAATGTTGTCAGGATAAGAGTATAGCCCATGAAAAAGACAAACTTGAAATCATTTTTTTGCAAAAATGCTGAAGGGTTTGCTCAAAAGAACTGTAATCATCATAAATCTTCCCAATTTCTAGTCAATGTCTTCAGTCATCCCATGTGCCTGATGAAAGAAAAGAAAGAAGTTAAACAGCTGATATTTTTGGTCATGATCATAGGTCAAGGAGCCTACTGTGGCTGAGATTAAAGAGAATTTTGATCATGTGATTGTGCAAGAAAGGTTTTGTGTGGCTTCTTTGAAATTTGGCCAACACTGAAGTAAAAGTGTTGTTTCATTTGACATGTCCACCTAACCACAGATTGAGGAATGGAAGGCTGAGGGACTAGGAGCAGGACAAGTCCACTGCAGTCTGTGAAGGCAGGGATGACGTTTGTTGCAAACAATCCATAGAAAAAGGCAGAGCTGAGAAAGGGGGTCTCCCAGAAGACCAGAAAAGACAATTCAAAGAAGATAAAAGTGCAAAACACTTCATGTTTACAATTGGCTTACTGCAGGAGCATGTGGAAGAAGCTAAAGCAGGTATACCATGAGAAACCTCCTTGGGTCTTTTGTATCCCCCAATCCTCCTACCCCAAAAAGCTGTCAAATGAGGCTAAAATCTCCTCCAAAATCCCCTGGCAGGTAAGCTCTACCTGGAGAAAACCTTCTGAGCCGGGGGGAAGAGTCCCTTCACTTTCTTGTTTGTCATCAGAGTAAAATATAAAGATAACAAGGACATTTTTAGTATAATTTGAAGCATTTTATTCAACTTCACAGAAATTAGAAATAATTCCCAGGTTATTAAATAAAGTGATGGTCCTCATTTTTCTTGTAAAATAATGAAGCAGATTTGGGCATTCTGCCCATTGGCTAGGAATATTATTCCAAGTTCTTATTGTATCCATGGAAAATCAAATTCAAATTACAGCATGTTTTCTTCTAACATAATTTGCCATAAATGTCTGTGTATCTGTATCTAAATAATATCTGCAATCTAGTCTAAGAAAAAATATACAAATCGATAGGACATGTAATTGCAAAGGGCTTATTATTTTATATGTTCTTCCTGGATCCTTGAAAAATGACCAGAGAGGATGGGATGGAGCCAAACCTTGCAAATGTAAGTAGAAACAGTGCACTAAAACCTTCCCATCCCTCTGCACAGCAATTTACAACCCTAGCAGCCAAAGAAGATTGTCTATATACACAAATGATATGACACACATCACCCAGGCAAATCACCACCCATACAATTTGGAAAACAGGATAGGGTTAAGTGTTATGAGAGCCGGAATATGAGCAGCATTCAATTATTGTAAAAATAATGCTGCCTCCTATTTATATAGTGCCTTGATCCTGCTGAGCTCATGGTACAGCCATATCTTATTGTGAATTCTATTAATATGTTAGGTTCAAAGTCATCTTTCAAGCACAGATCATTACTGGTGTTCTTTCTCACGTAGCCCCTGTATGGGGTTACCTAAAATTAATCTCATTTCAGCAGTAGAGACTCTAGGTATGAAATGTGACAGTCATGCAACGCCACTATTCACCAGAGGAATAAAGACTAGATTCTAGTTTTGCATTATATCACAATCCTGCAGTTCTCACACTGCATGCCTAGGATGAATGACTGATGTCCCCCCAAAAACCTCCATAGCTCTGACTCAAGGGTGTTAATAATTGTACCTGTCACCAGAAAACCCGTCTCACCTATTCACCAGGTGAGGAACCAAAAGGATAGAAAGGTCACATGGTCTTTACACACTAGTTGGGCATGTTTCTGGGCCTTTCTGAGCCACAGTTTATTCCTTTTTAAAGAGAGCACAGAAATTCCTATTCACAAGGTCACAGGATGATGATGGTTAGGTGACTCCACACATACTGTAATAACAAAACGAAAGAGAGACTTTGAAGAACTATGAGAGATACCTGAACTTCTTCTTGCTGTTTAGAAAGACAGAGATTTAACTAAGGAAATGCAAGTAAATGGGAGGTCTTCTACCATTACTGCAATTCAAATTTTTCAAGTTTTCAAGGTGTCTTAGACCATCTGTGTTGCTATGAAAGAACACCTGAGGCCGGGCGCAGTGGCTCACACCTGTAATCCTAGCACTTTGGGAAGCCAAGGCAGGTGGATCATGAGGTCAGGAGTTCGCGACCAGCCTGGCCAACATAGTGAAACCCCATCTCTACTAAAAATACACAAAAGTAGCCAGGCATGGGGGCTGGTGCCTGTAATCCCAGCTACTTGGGAGGCTGAGGCAGGAGAATCGCTTGAACCCGGGAGGTGGAGGTTGCAGTGGGCTGAGATCACGCCACTGCACTGCAGCTCAGATGACAGTGTGAGACTCTATCTTAAAAAAAAAAAAAATTACCTGAAGCTGGATAACTTAAAAAGTAAAGAGGTTCATTTGGCTCATAGTTCTGCTGCTGTACAAGAAGCATGGTGCCACAGTCTGCTTCTGGTGAGGTCCTCAGGCAGCTTCCACTCATGGTGGAAGGTGAAGTGAGCAGACATGTGCAGAGTGGGACAAGAAGCAAGAGAGAGAGCTGGAGATGACAGACTCTTTATATCAACTAGAGGAAGAACCTACTCACCTCTCAGGGGATTAATCTATTCATAAGGGATTCACTCCCATAACCCAAACACCTTCCACTGAGCCCCACCTCCAACACTGAGGATCACATTTCAATATAGGATTTGTAGGGGTCAAACAAACCATGCATAACACAAGAGGAATTCTTCAGATTTATACTATTTTCCATTATTAATTTGTCCTCTCCATCAGAAAGCACATTTTGTAATTAAAATAAAACAAACAAACAAAAAACCTCCAGACCACAAGTAACCTGAAATTTGGGATCATGGGTCCTCTTTTTTCTCACAGTCTCAGCCAAAGTCCAGCACCAAATGTACTGTCTGCTCAGTGTAATTCTATTGCTTGTCCTCTTAAAGCAAAATGCTCTCTCATGCTTCTGAAAGTTGATATACGTTGTTCCTCCTTCATGTAATGTGTCCTCAGGTCCATATTTACTAGAACAACTCAAACTAGTCCTTCCTGACCTAGAACTGGTGGGGCTCAAGACTGGGAGCTGCAGACACAGGTGAAGTTGCCATCTACTCTCAAGCTCTTTCTTAATGTACCTGGTGAACAAGCCCCTTTTGTGTCATCTTCGCCAGGTACATTAAGAAAGACTGGAGGCAAGAAAGGAAACTGAAGGAAACATCCCAAAATTGTACTGACCTAGAGGAGAAGGGGAGGGGATAGGCTGCTGCTGCTGGATAAACATAAAGCCTCATTCATAGCCATGCTCAGACTTTTCCATCATATGGACCAAAACACATGAGCCAAAGGGAAATGAGCAACAGCACTGTCACCACCAGAGTACAGGTACAGAGCCATTGTTACTGGGGAAAAGATGAAGAGAAAAAGCACATGCCTCTGCGGGAAGAATATTGAACTGTTCCCAGCCCAGAAACTTATACCAATACAGAGGTTTCCTACCACGGGGGTAGGGAGAGGAAACTCTCTCCCAGATAAGACCTATTAAACATACAAGACAGAGTTTCCTACCTGGCATAGAGAAAATAGGGTAAATGCTAAGAAATTGTACCTCTAAAGTTCAGGCACATAGAGCTTATCTGGATAGGGAAAGACTAGATCCAAATAAATGCCCTTCAATTGATTATGTTAGCCTAGCAAGCCAAGGCGATAAGCAAAAACAGTATATAGTTAGAGAAGGGTAAAGGGGATCTCCCTGCTCTGTGGTACAGGCCTACAGTTGTGGCTAAAAGCTGAGAGCAGAAGACAGGCACACAGAAAAATCTTCTGGCACCTCAGCTTCCACTATGAGAAAAAAGCATCAGGAGAAGAATTTGAAGCCTGTGGTGTGCTGACAGTAATTCTAACAAAGAAAAACCAAACCTTGCTCAACTCCTGACCAAGTTGACTATGTACCCCACTTCACCTGCCTGTGAAGGGGCATGCCCACTTACAGGTGAAAATACTGCTCACTTCAGTCTCTGCTATTCTATATGAGATGTCTGTCACTCAATGAAATAGTATGGAATACCTGAATAGTTATGTGGTGGGGGTGGGGCAAAGGAGAACTACTTCAAAGAGACAAAACAATCAATACAATCAGACTTACAAATTATACAGGTGTTGGAACTATCAGGCAGGGTCCTAAAATAGCTATAATTAGTATGTTAAAGGATCTAGTGTAAAATATGCACAATATGCACAAACAGATGGAAAATTTCAGCAGAGAGTTGGAAACTATAAAAAGTCAAGTGGAAATACTAAAAATAATAACACTTAAAAAAACAACTATCATGTTAGAGATAAATTACTTGAGTGAGTTCATCAGTAGACTAAAGTCAACCAAGAAAAGAGTCAATAAACTTGAGGATAAGTCAATAGAAATTATGCAATCAAAAATACAAAGAGGAAAATGTATGAGAGCATCTAAGAGCTGTATGAAAATACCAATTCACCTAAAATATATGCAGTTGTATTCCCAGAAATTGAAAAAAAATGGGGATTAATAAATATATGTAAAGACCAATAATTTCCCCAAAATAATAAAAAATATAAAACCACAGATCCAAGAAATGCAGAAAATCTCCAAGCAGGAAAAATTAATATCAAACAAATGAAAACCAAGACATGGTGTTTATTTTGCATATAATGCCAACTGCCACAAATCCAAAATAAAGAGAAAAACTAAAAGGAAGCCAGTGGGGGAACAAAACACACTACATACAGAAGAACAAACATAAGATTATAGCAAATTTCTCAGTAGAAACAATGCGAGTTAGAAGAAAAATGTAGTGACATCTTTAAATTTCTAGAAAAGAAAAGAAGAAACTGCCAACCTACATTTTAATAGCTAGCAAAAATACATTTAAAAACTTAAGATGAAATCAGCACATTTTCAGAAAACAGACAAAAACATGAAAAGACTACATTGCTAGCAGATCTGTGCTACAGAAAATATTAAAGAAACTTTTTACTCAGAGAACATATAATTCCAGACAGAAACTTGAATCTGCACTAAAATAAAATGAAGTCTGGGAATGCTCAAAATAAAGGTAAATATAAAAAGACAATTTTCTTATTTGTAATGGCTCTAAAAGATAATTGACTATGGTCCAACAATGATAGACTGGATTAAGAAAATGTGGCACATATACACCATGCAATACTATGCAGCCATAAAAAATGATGAGTTCATGTCCTTTGTAGGGACATGGATGACGCTGGAAACCACCATTCTCTGCAAACTATCGCAAGGACAAAAAACCAAACACTGCATGTTCTCACTCATAGGTGGGAAATGAACAATGAGAACACATGGACACAGGAAGGGGAACATCACACACCGGGGACTGTTGTGGGGTGCGGGGAGTGGGGAGGGATAGCATTAGGAGATATACCTAATGCTAAATGACGAGTTACTGGGTGCAGCACACCAGCATGGCACATGTATACATATGTAACAAACATGCACGTTGTGCACATGTACCCTAAAACTCAAAGTATAATAATAATAAAATTTTAAAAAAAGGTAATTGACTATGTAAAGGAAAAGAAATAACTATTTATGTTTGGGTCTACAACATATGTAAAAATATAATGTATGATAGAAATACCAGAAAAAGCAGTAAGGGAAGAATTGGAGATATATTATTGCAAGGTTCTTCTACCTTACTTAAGGTGATACAATACTATTTGAAGATAACTGAATAATTATTTGTGATAATTGAATAATATGTATTGTAAATTCTATTAAAAATATTTAAATAAAATTAGGAAAGATATATGGATAATAGAACAATGATAGAGATAAAATGGAATCATAAAAATTCAAATGGTCCTTATTTTTCATTTTTCTGATATGCACACATTTTACTTATCATGGTTTAAACCCTAAATTTCAGTGTCAATGATTTTGTTGACCTCTGCAAAACATATCATATTTCAGTATTGTATAATAACTTCAAATAACCGCATATAGACTTTACTGCAAGCTCTTCAGTTCACAAATAACTATGTAAAAAAAAAAACAGATATGCATCATTATCAGTGACCAATCATATCACTCTTTTCAAAACCTATCAAGGACTGGTCCCTGCACTCTGTTCTTCAGTTCCTGCACAGACAGTATAGCGAATAGTTTTGTTGCTGTTTGGTCACTCAGTGATAACCTTACATGTAACAAACAAGGTAATTGAAAGACAGAATTGGAGACAAAGATGAAAATGCAGGCAAGAAACAAAAAGTGATGATGCTGTAAGTGAAATTCAACTTGAACATAAGGGATCCTATGGAAAAAAGTAGCTGACCATGACCTGTACACTGCCATTGTCCAAGAGACTCTAGACATGCAGCCAGAAGACCTGAGTGACAACAAATATACTGACAATAATGAGTAAAGGGGCTTGTGAGAAAAAAAGAGAAAGTAAAGGTTTTGAAAAAACTTCAGATTAAAGAAACTCTCAAAAATATTTCATGACATTGAAAACACAAAAGACCAAATGTCAAAAACAAATCCAAACTTATAAAAGAGTATAACAATTTTCCAAAACATAGAAAAGAGGCTTACTCCATATTGTAAATTTTACTATGAGAAGAATGCAACACTTTCCAAACTACTATGTTACAAAAACTAACAAAGTAAGCCCCACAATTCTCAATGTTTTGAATTACAGTAGACTAAATGTTTTTAATTACAGTATATTAAAAAATTAGTGTTTTTAGTTTTAATTTTTCTACACATTATAACAGTAAGAAAGATTTAGATGTTTTGGGCAAAAAAATTAAAGGTCATGAAACCATTGTAGATGATCCTATTGATTTTTAAGATCACTTTGTATGGTTTCAGCTTCCATAGTTATTTTTATAGTACTACTCTACCGTGCCAAACAGGGAACACTTACAATCTAACCTGTCTCAAAGGAGGCTGAAAAGTAGGCAAAAGGATGAAAAAAAAAGATGGAAATTTAAAAAAAATAGCCAGGTGATAGATTTTAAACCAACTATATCAATTGTTTCACTAAATATAAGAATTCTAAGCATCTCAATCAAAAGACAGATATCAATTAAAAACAGAGAGTAAGTCATTTTGCATTAAAAATCAAGGCCCAATTATATTATTGTTTCTTAAAAATATACACAGGGTTAGGTAAGAGGATGGGAAAATATGTGTAATGAAAACGCTAATCCAAAGGAAGCTGGAGTGACTATACAATATTAAAGTAGATTTCAGAACAACAAATATGACCAAGGGCGAAATGTCGCATTATATACTCTTCAAGAAGTTCTTTCACCAAAGAAGACAAAACAATCATAGACTCATATGGACCTACACCAGGGCTTCAAAATAAATGAAGCAAAACCTAATAGTTTGTGAATTCAAGAATCATGCCTTAGGAATACATAGAGCAAGTAAAAAAATATTACTATGTATAGAAGAACCTACATAACAGTATCACTCAACGTGAATGAGTTAACACTTCTAGAACATTCCATCAAACATTGTTTTCCAGAAAGTATCAAGTATACACATTGTTTTTAAGTGCACCTAAAGTATGCACAAGGATATATTTTGTGCCACAGATCAAGCTTCAAAAAATTCAAAATAATTTAAATCATAAACTATGCCATCTGACTATAAAGTATACAATTTTCAACAACAGAAAAATTTGGATAATATACACAAACTTCTAAATAACCTACAATTAGAAGTTATGTAGGATATTAGAAAATATTTTGAATCCAATTAAAATGAAAATAAAATGTATTAAAATTTTAAGGATGCAGCTAAAGCAGGGCTAAAGAAAAAGAATTACAGGATTAAGGATTATGTTAGAAAAGAGGAGAGGACTGAAATCCTCGATCTAAACTTTCACTTTATGAAATTAGCAAAAAGAAAAAAAATTATACCTATAGTAAGCAGGGAGAAAAAAAATAACATCATAAATAAATTCAAAAAGAGAAAAGAATTTAAAAAGGCCAATTAAAACAAAAGGTAGTGTTTTCAAAAGATCAGTAAAGTTGGTAATCATATAGCCAGGTGGTCAACCAACTGCATTCCATGGGCAAAATCTACCTCACTGTTTGTTTTGTAAATAAAGTTTTATTGGGACACAGCTACACCCATTTATTTACATATTATCTATGGTTGTTTTCCACTACAACAAGAGAGTTGAGTAGTTGAAACAGAGACCAATGACCTGCCTACACAAAAAATATTGACCATATAGCCCATAACACAAAAAGTATTGCCAAATTCTGTCCTGCTCTCATTCAAATGATAAAGAAAAAAAAAGAGAAAATAAACATATTTTTTATATCAGGAATATTGAAATCAAGGATTTCACTACAGATTCTATAAATATTACATGATAATAAAATATAAAGTTTTAAAAAACCTTTATGTCAAATTAGGTGAAATAAATAATTGTATTGAATGACACAAACTGCCAAAGCTCTTTCCAAAAGAAAGTGATAACCTGAATAGTCATACATCTAAGAAATACATTGCAATTTTAGCTAAAATTCTTCCCACAAAAAAATATTCAGACCCAGATGTTTTCCCTAGGGAATTCTACTAAACATTTAAGGAAGAAACACCACCATTTCTGTATGAACTTTTCTAGAAAATAGGAAATGAAGAAAAACTTCCCAACATGTTTTATAATGCGAGAATTACCCTGAAATGAAAATAAAGATATTATAAGAAATCTACAGAGCAATATCCCTCATAATCATAGGAACAAAAATGCTCAAAAAATTAGGATATGAATCTAGCAAGATATAAAAAGATAGCACATCATAACCAAGGGAGTTTAACCCCAGAATAGAAGTTTAGTTCAACATAGAAAATCAATCAATGTAATTTACTATATTAATAGACTAAAGAAGAAAACCATTAATTACAATCATCTCATTAAATGCAAAAAAAGCCTTTAACAAAATTTGACATTCATTCATGATAAATACTCTCAGCAAACTCAAGTGGAAGGGGACTTCCTCAGGGTGACAATCTTCATCTACGAAAACCCTACAGCAAATGGCACACTTAATAATGAAAGTCTGACTGTTTTCCCTCTAGACTAAGAAAATGGTAAATACTTTTGTTGTCAAAATACTTTTGTTGTTATATTGTATGTCTTATACTGGATGTCTTATCCACTGCAATAAAGGTGTAGTTCAAGGGGGGAATATATACACATTAAAAAGGAAAAAAATAAAGCTATCTATAAGTACAGAGCAATAATTTTCTATGTAGAAATTCCTGTATAAATGACAAATAAAAATGCAAAGACTAATAAGTGAATTGAGGAAGGTCACGTGATAAAAGGTCAACAATAAAAATCAATTTTATTTCTATATACTAGCAATGAGCAATTAGAAATTAATTTTTAAAATATCTTTATAATAGCATTAAAGCATTAAATACTTGAGCATAAATCAAACAAAATGTCTATATAATCATTATGCTGAAAACCATAAAACCCAGAGAAGAACAATCAAAGAAAGTCCAAGTAAATAAAAAGATATAATGTGTTCATGAGTTGGAAGACTCAATATTATGAAAAGTTCAATTATTTCAAAACTGATCTATAGATTCAAATAATTCCAATAAAAACTTTAACATGATATTTTGTTGAAATGTGTAAGTTAATTTAACAATTTACATTAAAATACAAAGGAAACATAATAGCCAAAAACAATTATAAAGATAAAAACAAAACTGGAGTGCTCACACACTTGATTTTAAGATATACTGTATAGCTTCAGTAATCAAGACAGTGTAGTGTGAGTTAAAGAATAGACATATAGATCAGTGAAACAGGGGAGGGAGTCCAGAAAATAAACCCAAGCAAATCTAGCCAACTGATTTTTGGCAAAGATACTAAGGCAAATCAAGGGAGAAAGAATAGCATTTTCAAGAAATGGTGCTGGAACAGGCATCTATGGGCAAAAGGAAGGAAGGAAAGGAGGAAGGAAAAGGAAGGGGAAGGGGAAAAGGAAGGGAGGAAGGGAGGAAGGGAGGGAGGGAAAAAGAAAACCCAAACTGAAACTATAATTAATGTTTCTATTAGAACACACTGGACGAATTCTTTGTAACCATGGATTTTAGAAAGATTTCTTAGATATGGCTCCCAAAGAATGAGCCATAATAGAAAACATTGATAAGCTGGACTTCATAAAAACTATACACATCTGTTCTTCAAAAGACACTATTAAGAAAATGAAAAGACACCAATCAGCCTGAGAGAAAATTCTCATTTGCAAAACACATATTTGATAACAGACTTGTATCCAGAATATAAAACGAACTCCCAAAACCCAATCATAAGAAAGCACAACCACCTTATTTTAAAAAGTGAGCTGAAGATTTGAAGAAAACCACCACTAAAAATGATATATGGATGAGATGGCAAATAAGTACATGAAAAGATTCTTGACATATTATTTATTGGGAAAATGCAAATTAAACCCCAAATGATATACTGCCGCACACTCTTTAGGATTTTTAAGTGCAGTGAAAAGCCACTGGAGCATCTAAAGCAGGGAGGTTACAAGAGATTTATCAGCATTTGTTGAAAAGATCACAGTGATTGTTGTGCAGAGTAGGGAGGTGACAAGGGAAGCCGAGACCATTGAAGCAGCTGCTGTGCGTTAGACTAAGGTGTGGATGGGAAGAGGAGTCATCTTTCGTAGTTGAGCTAGACTTGTCAGTGGAGCACTTGCAGTGGATTGGATGTGTAGGGAGAAGGGGAAAAAAAAAAAGAACTAGGAGTAAAAGGTGAAAGATTTATATGATATTACCTTGACTGTGGGTATCATCCGTGTTTGTATATATCCAAAGCCATCAAATTGAACATATTAAATATGTGCAATATTTTATCAATTATACCTCAATGAATCTGTTTTTAAAATAGAAACGGGTGACTTCTAGGTTTTAAGCCTCATCAGTCAGATGTTCATGGTGCTATTTACTCGGATGGAAAAACACTGGGCTGAAGAAAGCTTGGAGGAGAAAAATCAGTAATTTAAAAGGATTGTAATATTGCATCCCTCATCCTTATTTTATTTCTCTTTCTTTCTTTCTTTCTTTCTTTTTTTGAGACGGAGTCTCTCTCTGTTGCCCAGGCTGGAGTGCAGTGGTGTGATTTTGGCTCACCGCAACCTCCGCCTCCCAGGTTCAAGAGATTCTCCTGCCTCAGTCTCCCTTGTAGCTGGGACTACAGGCATGCGCCACCAGGCATGACTAATTTTTGTATTTTTATTAGAAATGGGGTTTCACCATGTTGGCCAGACTGGTCTCAAACTCCTGACCTCAGGTGATCTGCCCACCTTGGCCTCCCAAATTGCTGGGATTACAGATGTTAGCCATCGCACCCGGATGCATCCCTCATCTTTAAACACTGAAAACATCCCTACCAGCCAAATGGATGGAGTTGGAGCGCAAATATTTTAGCTCATTATATCTAAGTTTGACTTCCGTCTTGTTACTCTGAATACCAGAACAAAGAGATATTCACATTAGTTGTCATGAAATCATCAAATTGAAAAACCTACTGAGACCTACTGTGTGCTCAGTACTGGGTTGGCATCACGAAAAACACAAAATTATAAACTTCAATTATTGTTCGTAAGTAACTTAGAAACTAATTAATAGCATAAGATATTTATGAGTAGTGATCCAGAACAAAAAGTAAAGCTGATAAAAATAATTTATTTAGCACACCATCAACAATGTCCTATAGGCTATGTGTGCAGATTGTCAAATATGAGGGACAGACACAGAGCTGATGTGAAAGGACAGAGTGATCCCTGTGCGCTGGAGTGGTCCTGGAAGCTCTCTTGATGGAAGAATGGCTTGATCTTAATGCAAAATAACCGAGGGAGCATTCCAGAGGGGGATACAAATCTACAACAAAATGCAGTTCTTCCTCCTGTCTCAGGGGAAAGTTAACCATTTTCTTTGAGAAACAGACATGTGAATAGAAATAACTAAAATAAGCTCTTTGGAATCAGTAAAGAGAGCCTATACAACAACTACAAAGAATTTTCCAGCCATAGACTCATATCATGAAAAGTACTAAAATGAATATTATCCAGTCTAGGCATTCTGCCCTACTGGAAGCCCCTTTATGGGCAGAGATGAGAATTCACCATAGTCTTTGATTTTCTGATTTGTAAAGTCTACAAAGAATATGTAGAATGAATGACTAACATTTTAACAAACCATACCTTTTGTACTGAGATATATTTTTTTTACTAAACCTTGTCCTGGATAAACAACTTTTGGCCCATAAGCCAGGGTAGACAAAGATCAAAGTTATGTTCACCATGCATCCCTTTTCATTCAAAAATATTTTGGCTTGCACTATCACTCAGCTATACAGAACTGATCATTTTAATTCCCCTAAAGCACATGGAAAAAAAGCTTTTTTAGATTAAAAGTGCCTATTTTCAAACAATGGCCTGCTGTGCTCGTCTAGACTTAAATAGACACCCAAGTGACCACCTTCGGATAAAAGGTCATGAAGTGTCATGAAGCACCAGCTTCTCCTTGGGAGGGTGGTTGAGGTCAGTGCTCACTCTGAAGGGCTCAACAAATTTGGATAATGCTTTCCAAGGTCAAATGAGACGAAACTGAAGGATGAAACTCAACCTATTTGTGAGAAATGAAACCAGGTCTCACTGAGTTTCAGTCACCACATTGATGACACTGGTAGTCAACTGATTCTCCAGCGAGTAAGGGAACAGCTGCATGAATGAGAATACGAAATAGCAATCATCAGGAAACACCATTGTGTCTAAGACTCCTTCTCCATGGGAGAGCTCTTTCCAACTCAGATGGGACCCAGCAGTTGTTCTCCTTGCCTAAATCCAGAATGGAGTGAAGATGTCGCACTTGATTCTCCCTCGGCACAGCTGAATTTCACAAGGGAAAGATGACAGACAAAGAGATGGGGCAGAACGGAGAGCGTGGCAGGGAGAGAGAGAGCAAACCAGAGAGTGCAAACAGCTTTAAAACTATGTAA
The DNA here is from genome assembly GCF_000001405.40 of Homo sapiens. NCBI lineage: Eukaryota > Metazoa > Chordata > Mammalia > Primates > Hominidae > Homo > Homo sapiens. The sequence continues at coordinate 87,404,574 of NC_000015.10, forward strand.
GACAAAGGAGAAGTCATTGGTTGGATGAAAAATACCAGATGGCAACCAAAACCTTTGGAAAAATGGAACAGATGAAGGAGTCTCAACTGGGACCTTTAGAAAGGTCGATTTAGGAGCATTGTACATGGGCTATCAGTGTTCTAGGACCACTGCACACAGCTACCAGCATCCAAGCTAAAGAAATTCCAGTCCAGATCGTGTTCTGTCACCCAAGCTGGAGAGCAGTGGCACAAACATGGTTCATGGCAGCCCTGACCTCCTGGGCTCGAGCAATCCTCCCGCCTTGGCCTCCCAAGTACCTTGGGCCAGAGATGCAAGCCACCATGCCCAGCTATTTTTTTATTTTTATTTTTGGAGAGATGGGGGTCTTGCTATGTTGCTTGGTCTGGTCTCAAACTTCTGAGCTCAAGCCATTCTCCTGCCTTGATCTCCCAAAGTGCTGGGGTTATGGGCACGAACCATCACACCCAGCATGAAGTCAATTCTTAAAGAGGAGTAATTGGAAGGTTAGTATCAGAGTTCTACCTAGTCATTTCTAGAGTTGACCACACTTTCTCCTTCCTCAAGTCACTTGCAGGCACCTCTGCCTGGAGTGCTCACCCCCTGGGTATAAATAAGGGTAATCTCTTGACATTTTTCATATCTGTTTTACAGTTTCCTCAGAGATGCCTTGCCCAGCTAGCTGACCCAAGGCAGCATCCTCTATCACTCTCTATATCAACAGGACCAATGCCAGGAATCACCCTACATTTCAAATAGAGGGACTGGTTGTAAGAAATGGATTATAAAAGCATTAGAAATACTGAGTGGACAAAATGAGGTGGCTAAGTAACTGAGTTATTGGTAACCGTGAGAAGCAGCTGCCATCCAAAGGACTTGGAGGACAAAGGGAGGAGGCAAAGCGAGGACCACCAGAAGGAGCCCCTCCCCTACAACAGCCTGTGCTGGCAGCTGGAGGAGATGCCAGACAAATCCGTGGGGGTGACAAGTGCCAGGACCAGGCTCAGAAGGGAGCCTGCATACAGTTGATAAAATAGCAAAGGGCTCAGCCAGGAGCTTCTCTTGGATATGGAAATTAATCATCTAGAGCCAAAACTCCTTTATTTGACCCCCACACGTCAGGAGGCAATATTCCTTTGCCTTAATTACCCCAGAGCAATGGACCAAGAAACTAAGAACCACCCTATAGCCCAAAGCCTTCCTAGGTTATTCAAACTAGTCAGTCCTAAACTGTTCAACCTGTCCTGCTCTTTCCAGTGGAAATCTCAATAAAGGCTCTGGCTGAGACCTTCCCCTCACTTCTGCTTTCTGCCTTCAGACCACCCTGAGACTTGCCCATGGGGCCCTGTGTAGCAAGCCATGCCCTCCTGTGTCCAAGACATGTGAGAATATTAATAAGCTTTGTTTTCCTGAGCATCTCCTGCATCTCCGCTTGTGGCCACACCTGACTGCCCATCACATAAAAAAGCACAGAACAGGTTGCAGGAATATGGGTGAAAGACACTGGAGTCTATAGCTGCTGCTGAAAGAGAGGGCAAGCAGGAGGCTCCTCCTGCCTCTAAACCCCTAGTACAGATTCTCTCTGGCAGAGCTCCTTAGGAAGCTTTCTGGGAAAAACATCAGGAAATGTAGTTTTCCTGGTCCCACTATCCCACCCACCCCCGAAATATAACAAAGCATAGAAAGGCCCTGAGGGGGACTGACACCAAACAGGAAAATGACCAACACGTGATTATATTGCCTTTGGATGTACCATTCTCTGAAATTACTCATTTATTTGTGTGCTTACCTGTTGCCTGCTTCCTTCTGTAGAATGAAAGAATATGAGATCAAGACGTTGATTATCTCATTTAGTCTATTCCCAGTGGCTCATACACGGCTCCAAGTTAGTTGGTTCTCAATAGTACCCTTGTTCAATAAATAAATGAAGGAAAAATAGTAAATATTTGTAGTCTATTCAATAAATAGATGTGTTTAAGTTATTCTACCTGAAGAGTTTTCATTTCTCCATATTAGTATAGCTATTTCTAAGGTTTTCTTATTTACAAATTTATAATAGAAGGATGGAAGGAGAGAAAGAAGGAAGGAAGGAGAAAAGAAAAAAGAAAAAGAACAAACGAAAGAAAGAAAGAAAAAGAAGAGAGAGAATAAAACAAAGAGGGAGGGAGGGAGGGGGGGGAGGAGGGAGGGAGGGAGGGAGGGAGAGACTGCAGCCATTGTCGTAAATAATTATTACTATTCAGACCAAGTGCAAGTGAACTGATAAATATGTTAAGATTTTGGCATCCAAGGAGAGCAGACCAGTTTAACCATCTCTAATAGAGAAGGCTTTTCTGAAATTTTCCTGATCGGTACCCCTCCCAACAGGTGTCTTCTCCTACAAGTTAAGGTACTCCCCCCATCTCTCCAGGTGGATCTCCTAAGACAACAAACTTTGCAGACTCTTTGAGAGTTCTAGCCTTGTCCCAATACCTAGCCTTGTACATGATGATCTTTCTGTTTGAAACACCCCACCTCCCTTCCCCATGAGACAAAGCAAGAATACTTCTTATTGACCTGCTGAGCCCATCCTCAAAGCACGGAAATAATGGCAAATTTTGAGTTTCTTCAAGGGAAATTCCAGGCACCTAGCCATCCCTGAGAATTAAATGAGCAGCTTCATAAGGAAGAAGGTAATAGTAGCTTAAAACAATAGCCAAGGAAGTTAGAGTCCTGAGATATTCTTTATAGAAACTAAAGGTACTATATATATAATATATATAGTATATGTATATATATAATATATAGTATACGTATATATATAATATATAGTATATGTATATATATAATATAGAGTATATGTGTGTATATATATATATGTGTGTGTATATATATATATATATATATATATATATATATATATTTTTTTTTTTTTTTTTTTTTTTTTTTTGAGACAGAGTCTCGCTCTCTCACCAGGCTGGAGTGCAGTGGCTCGATCTCAGCTCACTGCAACCTCTGACTCCCTGGTTCAAGCAATTCTCCTGCCTCAGCCTCCCGAGTAGCTGGGATTACAGGTACATGCCACCACGCCCAGCTAATTTTTGTACTTCACTAGAGACGGGGTTCACCATGTTGGCCAGGATGGTCTCAATCTCCTGACCTCACGATCTGCCCGCCTCAGCCTCCCAAAGTGCTGGGATTACAGGCATGATCTACCGCACTCGGTCTAAAGATACCATATTAACATATGTCCTTGAGTTGTTTTTCAGAAACCCAGACCCTCACAAAATGGAACTACTGGCATGTAGACCTCAGATAAGGGGAAACTGAGACTAACATCAACTACCATTTTTTATTTTAAAGTTCTTGCTGAGGAGCCTGAAGGAAGTCACACCCATGTGATAGAGCTAACATCCTTTTCTCCTGACCCCAAATTTTTAGATAAAACTTTTCCCTCCTTAACCAATCGCAAATCAGAAAATCTTTGAATCTACCTATAACTTGTAAACCCCTGGTTTGAGAGGCCCCACCTTTTTAGGTCAAACCAATGTATAGCCACCATGTATTGATGTATAACTTTCCCTGTAACCTCCGCCCCCTGGGTTTTTAAAGGCAGGTCAGCAGGGAGGTCTGGTCTTCAGTGTGAGCTGCCTGATTTCCCTTGCTTTGTTCCCTGCAAATAAATGCCCTCCTTTCTCCCACTGCAAATCACAGTGTGGATGTTTGGCCTTACTAGACCAGGCAAGCAGACCACAGTTTGGTTCTGTAACATCCAGTTGGCAAACACTTAAAAATGCCACAAGGTTAATGAGTCTTCTCTGAGCTTCCTTGGTGCTCTCTCTGCACTTCTCTAGAACTGTCTTCCATCTAGCCATTATGATACTAGATCATGATGATTATTTAGCTTATCTCTCAGGCTTTCACACCAGAATGTGAGTACCTTGAGGCAAGAAAGCTTGTGTTTGCATCTAGCACAGTGCCTAGCAGAAAAGAAATAACATATAAACACTGAATAAAGGAAGTGAGGGAGAGAAGGAGAGTGAAGGGAAAGAAAGGAGAGAGGATGGCTTTTCATTGTATAAAGAGCCACACTATCTCCCTTTCTGGATGTTGTCATAATTAAATCAGCCCACCGTAACCAGTAGAACATCAAATCATATCTTCTCAAAGATTAAATTTTGTTCAACAAAGAAATGAAGGAAATGTTAATGTTCTACTTTCTTAGACAACCATACAGCCATATTAGACATTTCAAATGTTTTCCTAGACAAATACTATGACATATTGCAAATCCCTATTTCTTGCAATCACTATTGCTTTCAAATAGCCTTTCTGAAGTTTCCTAATGCATGGCACCATGTCTTTCTTTCTTTTCTATGCCAAGCCTTATGATAACTGTCTTCCCTACCAAAATATTACGAGAATTCTCTGGCCCAGCTGACCGCAGGGCAGTTCTTGGAGGGGGTATTTAGGCTGTTTTTAAGTACAAAAGAAAGTATGTGGTTCTGATGTGTAATGAAACTGGTGTGGTGTGGGGCACCACTCAGCTCAGGCTGCTGAGAAGTCTCTCCCTGTCTGCCAGTGCAGTGCTTACAAACTGAGCTTTGCTTTCCATTCTGAGTCTATGGTCTTTTTTCACAGACAGAATTGCTCATCCGGTCCCAGACTGCCGTCGATTTTCACCCAAGAGCAATGTCCATAAGTCAATATCTACAATGTTTAGGATTCAACTTTCCTATCTGATTTCGAAGCTTAGGATTACAATTTTGCCTATTTTAATCTTCTGATTGCCAAGAATCCTCAAAGATTATAGATAGTGAGTCTGAGATTACATTTGCAAGTTCCTTTAGTATCCTGGGATGGAATCCTCTGAGTTACGAATTTAAACTTCCCTAGACAAGCAGTCACTTCTTACTTCCCCATCTGCCTTGAGTAGTCATTGTACTTTTACATTTTGTCTTCTGTTCTTACCGGTTTAAAACCCAGTTTAGTTGCTAAAGAATTCCACAGCAAAATAAGTAAGAAATACATCTCTCTTCCTCCTACCACCTATTAAAATCACATCACCAGCCAGGGAATGAGCCTAAAGCCTGTTACTACAGACAAGACTTTAAAGGCCATTTGTGTTGTGTTTAATATCTTTGTATGTTTCAACTAATTCTAAGCTTTCCTCTTTGTCACATGTAAGAACTAGGGTTCTATGTTTCTCGCTCATATTTCTTTTTCCTTAGTTGTTGGTCCTTCACACAAAATTTGTTCTTTTAAAAATCTGTGCTTACCAGGAAATTAAACCTGTGTGGCATAAAATTATATAGAGAGAATCATAAAGAAATATTTTTTGGTTAAAAAAGTAAAAAGTATGGTGGTAGATAATATACCTATGTATGTGCTGCAATATCAAGGAGTAAAGAGGAATAGGTTTATGATCTAAGTTTTCCTTCCATCTCTGTCTTCTCTACACTTAATTCCTTTCTTTGCAGGCAAGCACTGTGATAAATTTCTTGGGTTAGGGCTGTCCTGCAACTCACCCAACCAGATGCAGTGGGCTTTGGAAACTTCATTTATCTTTCCAAAGAGAGAGAATATATAAAATTGCATTTCAACAAAATTTTGAACATCAACTATGTACACACTAAGAAAATTACAGAGGCAATTTTCTTACATTTCCTAATTAACTTCCCTTAGCTTAAAGAACCGATTAAGCTCTTCTTGGAACTCTCTATTTCTTATCCTTTCCTGGCTTAAAATCCTTCAGGGGCTCTCCATCACTGACAAAATAAAATCTTTCCCCTTTATCGTTCACCCTTTCTAAAAACAGACACATTTTTCAGGCTTCCTAATCGAAATTTCCCAATTTCAGCTGCATTCTCCAGCTCCCCATTGCTGCTTCTCATGTCTACGACTCTGCACAGGCCGCACTCGGATGCTAGACTGCCCTTAACCCTCCTTGACTTCTTAATAAACATCTCTTCATCTTTAAAGACACAATGAAATCTCACGTTTTCTGGGAAGATTTCTTTTTCCCTCCTTTCTCTTCCAAAGTTAATTTCCTTTTCTCCTATCACACCCATTTCTTGGTATTTATTATTGTACTTACAGCACTCCAGCTTTTTCTCACCATCAAAGAAAGCCTAGCTTATTTCCAATGTATGTGATTTATCAAGGAGTTCTGTAATGTTGATCATTCAACTCTGATCTCAGGCAGGCATAAGGATGAAATTACCCCTTAAGTTCTCGGTTTTTCCTCTTGAAGTTGTTTATAGTATCCAGGGAAAGAAATGCCCCTGTGGTTCAATACTGCATTACATATTTTTATTATTTCCCCCATGAGAATGCAGGCTGCTTGATGGCAGGGAACCTGGCTTGGTGATAACACTGCCTGTCCTTTTTCTTAAGCTTCATTTCCCAATTCTGTAACCAAGGCTCCCCTTTGCTCTTCAACAGGTCCTCCTCCCTTTCTCCCCCTGCCTTGGAAAGCACTATTTCTGATATCTGAAACTGCCCTTCTTTTCCACTCCTCTTTAGCTAATTTACATCTAATTTATCCTGATCAAATGTAATCTAACCTAGACTAGCTATTCTTTCTCTGCCTCCTCCCCCATCCTGTGCTGTTCTTCATCTGACCTCCCATCTCAGTGCATTGCCATTGCTTACTCATTCTGGTCCCCTAGCTTATACTGTCTGTAAGCTCCTGGAGAGCAAGGACTGTGCTTTCATCGATGTAGCCCCAGGTCTTAGTACCGAGACTGGTACAGATAAGTCTTGGCAGGTGCTTACCAAAGGAAGTGGTTAATGGAGTTTTGCTTCCCTCCAGTTGTCTGGCTCTACTTCCAGAGCTGATTCTTGGTAAGCTGGGGTAGGGAAACTATCCTTTACTACCTAACCCTTTCTTCCACCTCTGCACACAGAAAAGTAACTTCAGCAAGTTTCCCTGGTCACCGAGGAGCCATTCTAGGTTGAAATAAATTCTATCCATCTGAACATACTACTCTGTGGTGTCTGCTTGACCTCACCAATGAACAGCCTTTAACTTTGATTTCTCTCCTCTAGCCAGACATGAAAAACTGTTTTCTTAGAATTCCTTGTTCTCATTAAAGTTAGGTCTAAGTCTTCCATTTTTCAGTCTTCTTAACCCCAGCATCGCTCAGAAGCCTCTTCTGGGTCACCTCTATCCCCTTTCATGGCACTTCCATGTCTCTGAGATGCTGATTATTCCCAGGCAGCAGCAGCAGAAAACTATAGCATCTGCATTTCGCTGTGCACCAGTACCCTTGACCACAGCCAGAATGAGGCTACCAGAAACTCATGCTAATTGTAAGAAAGGCTTTTGTTTCACACAAGTCATCTAGCAATTATTAAGGGATTACTTATCCAATTTTGGGATGCTCTAGCCCTCTTAATACTACATCAAAAGGGCAATCGTGGAATATCAAAGCTGCTGAAATTTAAGACCAATAACTTATGTTCTTTGCTAATAGGCATCCCCTGCCCCTCTGCTTCTCCCTTCCATCCCCTTAAGGCTTGGAGAGCCCAAGGTTTAGACCTAAGCCTTCAGCTTTTGTGCCTCTAAATCAATAGTTTTCAAATACCCTTTTATAATAAACCTTTTTATCCAAACAAATCTAATGTTTGGATTCTGAATATATATTTGAAAAGACTTCACTATCTATGTATTTTAAACTCCTCATTACAGCAACTACTGCTTAAGTAATAAAATAATGATAATGAGACTAATTTTAAGAAACTATAATGTTTACTAGATGAATTTGTTTTTTTGTTTGTTGAGGGGGGCGTCTGGCATAGCATTAAATTTATCTCTGGATATTGCAGTTGCACGGTCTGTAAATAATGCTAATTCTCATGCATAAATTGTTGCAAACAATAACAATTTGGGTTTTTGTATTTTTAAACTGTTTTTGCTGAGTATTAAGTGTACTTAGACATTTTTGCTTTACAGCTGAATCCTTTGCAATGTCTCTCAAAGCCACCAAGATGCATTAGAAGTGTTTACAACATAATACTGCCACTATGGGATATGTGATTGTATTTGCTTGTACTAGTTTCCATGATTGGACACTCAAATACCTACATTTAGAAGAGAAAAGAATGAGCACATGACTCCTATACAAAAAGACCAAATATGTACCCAGAGATGAGAAAAGTTTATATTTAATATCTGCACAAAATGAATGCATTGGCAACATATTAAAAGCATAGGTGTGCTCTAATATGTTGAAATTTAATACAAAACCTATTTAATGGCTTTATTTTAAACTCGATTTTTAATATTTTTTGAAAATAGTTAACATATTAAATTGTATATTTTTAAAAATAAATATTTTTTGTAGAGCTCCTGTATCTGGGGTTTATAGACTGTTTGAAGACTATTCTACAAATCTGTTTCTCTAATTTCCATCAACTCTAGGCAGGGGACAAATGTATTTCCATGTGTAGGCCTGACATCTTCTGTCCTTGGTCCTGCTGAGATTTACCACCTGATATCTGTGACTACCTCATATAACAAGGATAAAACCTCCCTATCTTCCCCTAAAACTAACTCCTCATCTGTTTGACAGGGTGTGGGATCTCTTTTGGCCTTATCTCCTATAACACTTACTCTCTAGAACATGAATTTTGGCAATTAATTAATTTCTGTTTTGTAGGTTCTACAAGTAATTTAAGTTTGTAAATTTTATCTCTGAAACAACTTATGAAACTTGAGGGCAGGGATCAGAGCCTATTCTTCTCCTATTCCCCTAGCCACAGTAGCAATGCTAAGTTCAGAAGAGGTATTCAATGCATGCTTCAAATGAAGAGTGGATAAAACATGATTTTACAGTTGATCCAGGATCCTCATTCCCAATATGCATGAATTATAGTTTCTAAAATAAAAGGCATCGTAGTAACAATAGCAACTTCTCATTGAAATCTCTTATTTTTACTCAGCTCATAGTATTTCTCTGGTTTTGTCAAAAACAGTACCTCCTGATACACTTGGGCTAGGAATTCTAACAGCTGCTATCTCAGAATGATTTGCTATCTCTATGATATGAAATGCCCTTCACCCTGCAATACTAATGGAAATAAGCAATACACAAAGATCCTTTGTAGTGCAAAAAGAATAATATTCCCAAATATCCATCCATCCCTCTCACAAAGTCCCTTTAGGCTGCCTGTGGGGACTTGGTGACATCCAAAGCTCCTTCCAAGTCAAATGGAAAAAGGACATGCCTTTAGATTTGCATCCTTCTCACTAAGACACGAGTAATGCCTGGCTCTGGATGATTCAATAACTTTATGCCCTTGGGCAAGGCACTAAACCAGAGTGGCTTTCTGTTTTTTACTTTATTTTGAAATGAAAGCTAAAATAAATGGGCCACATTTTGTGAAATGAGAGGTAGTTGGACCCAGGAAACCCAAACAAGTAATCTGCTGGAAGAATCTCTCAAGGCTATGCAAAAAATAAAAGTGAATAAAAGTCATCAATTACTGAGCTCTGTGTACTTGGCTATTCCCCAAATATTTCTAGTAAATACCCACAAACATTCTGCAATATAGGTTAATTGATGCCCATTTTTCTGATAAGGAGAGTAAACCCTTCTCCCATAGGGACACACTATAAAATGTCAGTGTTGGACATGACCCTTATCTATGCAACTTTAAAGCATGCTTTCTCCAGCTCTCTGTGCCAATCTACGACTATTGTACAGGAGGAAAAACAATTTCCTCTCCACTTTCCTGAGTTCTCAGCAGGGACCCCTGTAACAAAAGATAGATTAACAAGAGAAAAGCCAACAGAAGTTTATTAACATGTATATTTCATGCATACATGGGAGAAAACTCAGGGAAAGAGTAACTCTCTGAGGGCTGGCGTAGAACTCTGACTTAGATGGTATCATGAACAAAGAATAATGCATTTTTAGAGAAACGACAAGATAAAGGAAAAGGAGCTTGAATTTCCAGGGGAGGCAAATTGTGGGGAATCAGGTGGGTGGGAAACTAATGGTAGATAAAAGCTGGTTAGGCAAGTTGGTTATGTAGATGCCTCTGGTGCTGTCTCCAGGCTGATAAAGGTCTAAAGCCATCTTCATCCTTCCTGGTGGAGAGGAAAGGAGGAACACCTTTGAAAATGTATGTCCTGCTTTTAGGTAAATGGAGGAGAGGGCAGAGAGGTTTTCTCTTATTGGCTTCTTTTCAATTGCTTTTGGCTCAAAATAATCCCAAAGTGGCATATTTTAGGATGGCATATTCTGCAACCCTTGACTACAGAAGACCCTGTTCATGAAAAAGTTCCACCCTCCAAGCATAGTAAAATGTTCTAGTCAACAGACTGAATGGTTAAGTAGAGCCAAAGTTCCAAGCTTGGCTGGTCAGACTGAATGAAGTAGAGCCAAAGGGCCAAGCTTTGCTGGGTCTCTCAGATCCAGGAGGAAGTAGTTTGCAGGTTATGATGGGCTTCTTTCAGGATGACATACTCACCCACTTTTGAGATAAATAGCTGGGAACATCCAGTTCTAATCATAAGAGCTTCACCTAATTTTAACATAATTTTTGAATATAGCCTTCAATTTCCTAAGTGAAGGGTAGGGGAAGAATAATGTGTGCTTGTACAGCAGGGCTCCCCAAAGTTATGGGGGAGGGAGGAAGGCTATTTCCTTACTGTTACAAGGCTGCTCTAGCTTTATTAACTGTTTGCTTTTCTTCACAAAATGGTCATGTATTTGGTATTTTGAAATGCAAACTCTTTTAATCTTCTGCTGTTTCATTTCATATGCATTTTAATGGATGTGTTTAACTTGATTCTTGCCTCCTAATGGGAATTAATCCCAGAGGGCACATACTTTATTCAATAAGAAAAATAATAAAATAAAATCGCTAAATGAAAAGCTAAGCTAGTCCTCTTTTAGGCTACTTGGCAATAACTGGCTCACTGAGAAAAACCTCTTTGCCTAGCATCAGTCATGAGTGCATAAGGTCTCCTTGGGACATCTACCCCAGATGAAAAGAACGAGACACAAGTGTGGATTGTGTACACAAGCATTTTGAGTGATTTCATGAGATTAAGAAAAAATTTTAGATAGGCAAAGCCTATATGGTTTCAAATGAAGTTTAAATTTGAGAGTAATGCAATGTCAGCAGTCAACTTAGATAATTGAGATCAAATATTAATTTGTGTCTTGATACGGCTCTAGAGATCACAGATAATACAAACCCCTCTTTTATGTGGATGAAAATCCTTCTCTTCGGTCCTAGACAATTGAGTTAACTGAGAGAATTAAAATGTTAGAAATTGAGGGATAAATCACAGGTGATAAAGAACTACAAACAAACAAACAAATGCATCTCAGAGTACTTGCCTAGAAAAGAGATGATTGCTCCAAGCACCTCCCAAATGACTGCTGAACTCATACCTGTAGCCCACAGTTCCCTGCCATGATGATTTTGGAGACCACAGATTCAGAACAGAATCACTCCAAGGTGGAGGAAGGTCACCTGATATACATTAAACTTTGCTTATGGCAAGAAATTAACCTTTCTGTATTAAACCACTGAGATTTTGGGATTTGTCTGTGGCAGCAAAGAGGATTAGCTTACCTTGATTAATACAAAATTATTGGAATCTTTGGACACTCTGAAGTTAGAATGTAAAAGCTAGAATGAATATTGCTTTCCTGCTGTCATTCAAGAAGAGTAAGACAAGACACCGAAGGAATAATTAAGATGAGATATTTAAAAAAATTAACTGACTCTAATAATTTTAAGATATGGAAATGATCTACTAATAGCCAACTCCAGAGTATTACCTTTTAAGGACAATTAGCAAAAGATGGATAAATCTATTATTAATAAGAATATTACACTGTGTGGTGCCATACATATTCAAAGCATTTTTTCATGGTAGTTTAAATGAAGTTCTGCCAAGGGCCTGGAGGTGACCAGATTATGTCATGAGGTTTTCTTTTTTTTTTCCTGCCTCATAATTCTATAATAAAAACATGTTCCATCTATGTCCCTCTAGCATTTTACCAACAAGAGATTTCTTTCCATCCCATCTTTGACAGAAAAGCAGCATCTATAGCTGAAAATGAAACACACCAAAGAATGCTTGGATAATGGCCTTGGTTTATCTCATAGCATTTTGTTTCTGCCCCTCAGGCAAGCAATTCCTCATCACAATCTCACCAGTGAATCACAGGACTCACACATTGCTACAAACCCTGCCTTTCAGCGTGCCCAGATTGAACCATTATATTTCAACCCACTATGAAATAATCCCTGTGAAACCAGCTGACCTGTTGGAGGGTACTTAGATAACATCGAAATACATTGCACTTAATGCAGTAGGGGATCTGTCAAAAACAATAAAGATTGGTGTAAAAACAAGCCACAAGTTATTGATCTGTTCTATTACAGTTGCTTTGAAAATAACCGAATTTCACTTTTGCCCTTTAATTTCTCCGTCTTAATCACATTCTGTCAAGACCAGGGCACACATATTATGCATAAAAAGGTCAAGAATACCCTTGTGTGCTTCCTGATCCAACACTGAGATATGTCCCAGACACTGTCACACATGCATACAAAATTGCCCACACACAGACCTCTGTGAACTAGACCAGCCAGAAAAATATAGTTTGATGGGACAGGAGCCTCTAAGGTAAATTGACACTACAAGGCATGAAAGAAGGCATCGATAGCAGTATACCCATTTTGATAACCTCCTTTTCAGTTAAATTAAACTCTAGATCTGAACTAGAGTGGGGTGTTTTCGGGAATCTCCTGAGGCTCCTGGACCTATTCCTGGCCAATCTAATTGAGTGGGACACATATTTTCACCATCCTGATCACCAGACATTGGCCTAATTATAAAAGTTGCTTCCATCTATATGGGGCTTAGTAGTCCTGCTGTGTTTGGGGCTTAATTGTCTTTATCTTTAGCCAGTGGAACACTGGGACTTTTGACCTTTAATGCTATACCTAGAAAGGTAGTTCCTTAGCACTTGCTGACTCTTGTACTCTCATTCAGGGCACACTAATGAGAATTCTCTTGGAGAAAAATCATAGTAATAACCCTGTCTTCAAGGATCCAACATTAAGATTTTGACATGACCACAATGATTATGAATGTGTTTCAAAATGTCCCCCAGGGCTACTTGGTCTCATCTAAATGACATCTCTTTGCCTTTCCTTCTTGTTTTCTGTTTGGAGGCATGTGTGCGAGCGCGCGCGCGCGCGCACACACACACACACACACACAAATATGATTGTTATACAAACAGTCTATTCCATTAAAACATCCTCTTCCTACAGATTTCATAAGCTTCTCTGATTGGCCTTTCCAACTCAAGGAACATCTACTCCTTCATTTGTTCAACATCTATTATTGATGCAGAAATAAATGAAGACCAACCAAATGGGAACAGCAAAGTCTATTTATTCTGAGCTTACCAACGCAAGGAAGTTAGCCACTGTCACTTGTGTTTTGGCAGAGACTCAAAAGCAGACAGAGAAGTAGGAAGGTTTATGGTGGAAAAAAAGGAAAGGCTTCAGCTATGCCCCGATTGGAGGCTGTTGGCACAGGGAAGCTGTAGGCTAGCTAACTGGACACAGAATGCTATGTGATTGGTTAGGGGAATATATTTGTCTTTCTCTAGTGGATCCTAAGTTGGGGACAAAAATGAGGGAAGCTTTCAGGTATTAATCAAGTCCTGTTCATTTTAGGCAAATTGTTACAGCAGTTGTTTAGCTTCCTAGAATGTCACTGGAAATAGCAATCTAACTCCCAGAAAAGTCTGACTTACAGCAGGCTGGCTTCCTGGTTTGCTTATAGTAGATAAGGGGTTGATTTCCTGGACAGGTTGCTGCAGGTTGTGGGTTAAAGTTCTGTTTTTATATCTGGTGAGGCCATTGTCTGTGTGTACACTGAATCTCTCACTGAGTATCTACTATGTGCCAGACACTGTTATGGGTACTGGATGTACAGATGAAACCAACAAGTCTTTGCCTTCATGAAGCTTATGTTCCAAAGGGGAAAATATTTCCAAAAAAAAAAAACAAAAAAATATATAATATCATGTCAAGTTCTGTGAGGAACTATGAAAGACAAATCAGGTCAGGTAATTGTGAAAGATAGGGTCATTTCTATTTTAGAGAGAGTGGCCAGAGAAGGCACTTCTGAGTAGCCGATATTTGAGATTCCCTTCTCATATCTGGCTTGTTCTTTTTTCTCAGCCTGTGCTTGTTCCCAAAATACACTGTTGGTGCTAGTAACTTACAGACAATGCCTCATTCCCAGGCTCAAAACCCTCCATATGTCAGAGAAGTCACATGGTATTATGGAAGCTCATAGGAACACAATCTATTTTTCCATTTCAGATGGTTGTATGCCATTGCACACATAATACTTCTCTTTAGCTTCAGTTTGTTCATCTGCAAAATGGAAATAAAAATACCTACCTCATTGGTTTGTTGTAAAAATTAAAAAATAATCAATAATCCACTTGGCATACAGGATAGCATCTTATTAATCTTGAAACATTCTACCTGACATATGTAATATATTGCAATACCTTCTGTGTTCCAGTAACATGGTAAAAAGACTTCATGATCCAAGGGAGACATTTACTGCAGGACCCAGCATGTATCCTTTTTGTTAATTGCAACATAAGCACCTGTCCAACTTCTGCTGAGGGGCAGGCCACTTGAGTAGAATTCATGCCTTTGGGGAGAAAAAAGAATAAGGTGGCTGGCCAGGGGTCTATCCCTTCTAGATCTCCATTGTCTTGGGCATATGTCACAGGCAGTAAGAACTGCAAGAGTCATTAACCCTTCTGGGAAGACTGGTAACTAATCTTTACCCAGTGGGCACCTCCTGCCAGGGTCCAGGCATTCACAGAAGTGTATAGAGTCACAGTGATTCATGGGCTGCAAAGGCCATCTTGGGACTTCATAAATACCACTTTGCTGAAGAAGCAGCACTGTTGAGAAAGCCTGTAATTACCATCTCCAATGACCTCATAAATTCTGAATTGCATTTTTGGAGTCATATTGGCTGCTGGGACTCCCATGCTCTGTCCAGTGGTTTTGCATGCTTGTCTGCTGCCTCAAAAATTGGTAATTATGGAATCTACACCCTAGAGAAGTGCTTCTCATTCTACATCATGAAAAAGAATTACCTGGATAGACCGTTAAAACAGAGTCCGGAGCTGGGGCTGGAGAATCAGCATTGTTAACATACTCCCCTATGATGTTGCTGCCAGCCTGTGGACCACACTTGGAGTAGCACTGCCTTACAGGCCAGTATGTAGAACACTCATTCTCAAACCAAAAAGCACCTAAAAAAAAACCCTTTTTTGTAAAAAAGGCAACATAGAAGATGTAGTTGTGTCCCCTGAACATTAAATTTTCAGCATATGTCATACATTTACAGAAACCTTAAGAACATATATTTGAAACTGGCACTGTCCTAGAAAATTCAGGATGTCTGTTTCCCTGAACTACATGTCATTTTCCCAAATGGGCTAATTAGTTCCAATTTGCAAAGACGTTACAGAGAAATGATTCCTTTTTTTTTTTTTAATCAGCATAGCAAAGTCTCAAAGAGAAAGCAAAGACAATACAAAATATCAGTGCAGACCACATTAATCAACAGATAACATCTTCCCCTAAGCCCCGGCCCTGGTTCTGGCAGTGACTTTACAGGACTGTGGTATATTGAAGAGGAAAGGAGGCTCCTGGCCCCATCCTGAAAAAGGTTGCAATCTAAATTTAGGAAATAAAGCCACTGGAAAGTAGGCAAGGGACTTTGTCTTTGGTGATACAGTGCCTGCCCCTGAGACAGGCTCATAGTATCTTGCATTAATATTTTTAAGGAAATAGAAAGATACCAACTAATCACACAGTTGGGCCAAATGGGAACTTTTTTAAGGGTTACAAACAGCAGTTAATGAGCCTGGCGTGATCCTGTTAGCTGCAGTGTTTCCTTTGAGGACTCCGGATTATCCCTCCATTTCTCTTAATTACTCAACAGTGTTAAATCAATGAAATTAACACCATTCAAATTAGGGAGCCACTATTGAGATGAAATTAATAGACATATTTGTAACTCTTCTTTCTCCTGCATAGATATAATAAATGCCTAAAAAAATCTTGCTTTTTGTTTTGTTGTGTTTCTCATGCCATTGCTGAATTTGCTGGTGTCCCTACCCTGCAGGCAGCATACTGGGGGCTGGAATGTCAAAGTCATCATTTCTTGCCTCTGTTTTTGCCTCAGCAAAAGCAGAGGTATAATATTGATTTCCTCCTGTTCCCCTATTTCTGCCTTGTTAGGATTTTTCTTAGTGATCATGTTTTGCTTGAAGTTATGGAAAAAAAAAAAGAAAGAAAATGAAAGAAAGAAAGAGAGAGAGAAAGATAAAAGTAAAGAAAAAGAATCAGCAAAAAAAATCCCTTACTTTTTTGGTAAAAAGAATAGTAAATTGGAAGGCAGGACACCTGGGTTTTCATCCCAGTTCTTCAACTAACTGGGGGCACGACCTTATACAACATACTTGACTTCTGAGATTCTTTTCTAATCCATAAAAGGGGATATTTGGCCAGGCGTGGTGGCTTACACCTGTAATCCCAGCACTTTGAGAGGCTGAGGTGGGTGGATTATTTGAGGTCAGGTGTTCAAGACCAGCCTGGCCAACATGGTGAAACCCCATCTCTACTAAAAATACAAAAATTAGCCAGGTGTAGTGGTGCATGCCTGTAATCCCAGCTATTCAGATGGCTGAAGCAGGAGAATCACTTGAACCTGGGAGGAGGAGGTTGCAGTGAGCCTGGATCATGCCACTGCACTCCAGCCTGGGCGACAGAGCAAGACTCCATCTCAAAGAAAAAAAAAAAAGATACTTGGTACCCTTCAATTCTGAAAATGTTTGTTGGACATTTTTATTCAACTGGTAGGAAAGGAGACAAAGGAAACAACATTCATTAGGTTTTTAATCTTGTAGAAACTTTCTCTATCGATCTGTGTTGTCTCTAGGTGATATCCATCATCACTTTGTGATGAAGATAACTTTTCTTGTCTCTGAAGACATTATTCACATGGTCTCATAACTGAGTGCTGTATACAATCGTGCATTCCTTCATTTACCTCACAAAATCCAGGATGTCCTTCCCCCCCAGTTAGTTGTATGCTCAGCCATGTCCCATTTCTGATTTCCAAATTTCTCATGATACAGCTTCCTGACCTTCTGGTTGAGATGCAATTAACAGATTAAAAATATGGTAGGGTTTGACATTGCCCCACTAAGGCTTGGCCCATTTTGGTGAGCTCTGTGCTTTCTGCCCCTTGCTTGCTTTCATGTATCTGTGCTACTGAGAACGATATCACCCACCTGGAGATTCACCCACCTGTTCTGGACTTTCACCTTCTGGCATAAATGCAGTGGTGCTTCCATAAACTTCAAAGAAAGTGGTTTAGGCATGGCAATCTGGCTAGAAGTGATGAGTCAGAGATTTATGATGAGAATCTCATCAACATAAACAGGTCAATAAAAACAGCTGTTTATTAAGGATAGTTTAATTCCCATTTTATAAAATTGTTAAACCCCATAGATCTTCTTAGGGGAGAGTGAGCAAAGTAGCAATGTGGTACTGGGTGATCATAAATTATACATAGTGTGCTGAAGATGGGCAAGGCATGTCTGCAATGTGTATCAGATAATACCAGTGATAGAATATTAATCTGTTGAAAAGACAGGCTCTTTTTGAATCTCCTGGTTATGATTTCTGAGGGATGATTTAATAAAACCAAGGAGCTTAGCTTAAGAGTAGAAAGATTTGGAAAGAACAAAATAAACTTGATCAAATATGTAAATGGCACTCCTAGAGAAGGAAGATTTAAGATGAAATAGGAGGACTGGACAAAAATTGGGCTTATTTTGTCTCAATACAAAGAAAGAAATTTCCACCAATTAGAACTGTCCTCCAAAGAAATAAGCTACCATGTGAGGTAGTAAGTTTCGTGTCACTGGAGATGTTCAAGACAAGACCATGTGTCAATTTTAGGAAGAGAATCATGGATAATTACAAAAGAGTTTGGTCCTGGATTATTTTTTATTTCTCTGAATCATATCTTTTTATTAAAGTTCAGTGACATTTCATTTTTTGGAAACTTTTTTATTTCAACTCACTCTGCTTTCTGTCTTTCACAGTTCTCAAACATCCTCTCAATACGGCTTTCCCATTTCTGTTCTCCTTTTTCCCCGTGGGCAGCAGTAATCTCCTTCTTATCACTGTATGGAAATTTCATTCAATTTAATTTATTTCCTGGAACACTGGCTGAGGTCCTATTGTACTTAAGTTCTGTGATAGGTATAATGGAGGATGCAAAGATGAATAACTTAAAGTCTGGGCTTCAGAGAATTTGCAAGATTCTAACAAAAGGAAGAAGACAAGCCTCAAAATAGCTTTTACATAATACTGAAGATAACCATTGCAACTGTGAAAAGTTTGTAGAGATTACATCTACTGGAATTGCTTTACAGGGGAGACACTATTTGAGAAGGATCTTAAAGATTATGGAAGATGGATTTTAACATTGAAAGATAGAGAAAGAAGAGTATTTCTGACATAGAGACCTGGAAGCAGAAAAAGACTGGAAGTATTTGAGACCAGCTAATAACACATTTGTCAGGGAAGATGTCATTGGCATGATGAAATGAACAAAGTAGGTTTTGAGTATCAAGTGAAAAACTTTGAAGTTCAAGGAAAGAAAATTTTATTTATTTTAATTCAAGAAGCAATTCCAGAGTATTTATGGTTTAACAGAAATAGTATGGTAAGAGTTGTTCTTATAGGGAAATTGATGTGTTAATTTTATTTAGAAATGATTAGTATGGAAACAGTCAAAAGTGGAAGGAGGAGCAAATACTGTGATAGTTCGAGAAATAGCAAGATTTTAAAGAAAGGTGTATCTTTGGCAGTGCAAAATAGGTATAGAATCCTGGTGTGTGATTTTTTTTAAATATACATTTATAGTCATTGGTGACAAATTCAGAAATTACAAAGTACAAAGAAGAAAATTAAAATTGCCAACAATTCCTCCAATCAATAGAGATTATCATTTTAACGTATATCTATTCTGACTTTTATTTATTTAGACTTTTTCTTACAAACATGAATGATAGTAGCCATGCCACTTTGTAAACTGCTTTTCAATTGGTAACACATCGCAATTACTTTTTCACATCAAGAAATTCAGTTATATACCATGTTTGTTTGGTTTGGGTTTGTTTTAGAGACAAGGTCTAGCTCTGTCACCCAGGCTGGAGTGCAGTAGCACAACCATGGCTCACTGCAGCCTTCATCTCCTGGGCTTAAATGATCCTCTTGCCTCAACCTCCCCAGTAGTTAGGACTATAGGTGCGCAGCACCACACTTGGCTTTTTTTTTTTTTTTTTTTTTTTTAACTTTTGGTAGAGTCTGGGTCTCACTATGTTGCCCAGGCTGGTCCTGAAGTCCTCTTAGCAAGTGATGCTGCTTTTGCCTCCCA
The DNA here is from genome assembly GCF_000001405.40 of Homo sapiens. Lineage (NCBI taxonomy): Eukaryota > Metazoa > Chordata > Mammalia > Primates > Hominidae > Homo > Homo sapiens. The sequence goes on from NC_000015.10 coordinate 87,424,096, forward strand.
TAGCCCCGGAATTATAGGTGTAAGCCACAGCTCCTGGTCCTTTTATATACCATGTTAATGGCTATAGAGTATCCTATACATGTATGTATTATAATTTGTATTATAAGTTATTGAACTACTTCCTTTTTGGGGTCTTAAGTGATTTCTATTTTTTTGTATTATGATAGTGCTGCAATAAATGTGTGTATACCCACTTTTGAATTGTTTTCTGAGTACTTCCTTATATAAATAAAAGTGGAATAGGTCAGAGGCTGCTGCTCTCACTCGTTGTTCCTTGCTTTTATTATTTGATCACTGAAATTTTGCTGAGCACATGGATGCCTACATAAAGGCTACATTTTTTTCCAGCCACCTTTTCAACCAGAAGCTCTAGGCATTGAGCTAGAAGTAAAAGTGTAGTAAAGTACAACTTTTCAAAGTGTTATTTAAAGGTAAAGTCTGCTTTTGGTCTTCCTCAGGCAGAGTTCTAACAGGATGGTTGGAGCCAAAGGAGCCACCGAGGATATGAGAAGACTTTGCTGGGGCGATCGAACAAAAAGATATAGGTCTCTGGGTCCATATCACCTTCTATGGCTGCCAAACCAGCCCTGGACTGCCCACCTCCAGAGAGAAAGAGAAATATACTTTTATCTTGTTTCAGTCATTTTAGAAGTTGGTTTTCTATCACACGCAGCTGAACTAATCCTAACTAAAACAATGGCTTTGAAAGTACACGTATTTAAGGCTTTCTGCACACATTGCCAAATTTGAGTCCAGAAAGTCTGTGCTGATGAATATTCCCACTAGTAATGTATAAATTAGAGTCCCATTCTTCATTTATCCTAGAAAATGCTGGGTACTGTAATTCTTTGTAAGTCTTCACCAATTTGGTAGTTGACAAATGACATCTCTTTGTTTTAATTTTCATTTCCAGGCTCATTCTTCTGAATCTTTTCTCCATTCCCTTCCAACCCTCCTGATGTAACCCTCTCCTTGACTAGTAATTCATCTATGTTAAAAACATAGCCCTTAGGATGAACCAGTTGGCTTTGCTATTCTTTCAATATCTGTCTGTCTTGCATTTCAGAAAGCAGAGATTCTTATCTAAAGACAATGCACCCGGGGTTCTTCCCTGGCCTTTCACTGATGATTTTCATTCCTTGCCAGCCTGATCTCCTCCAGCACGGTGCACTCATCTGTGCCTTTAAAGTGCTCAGGCGATTTTATAGCTGCAAGAAGAATATGAAGGTACAAGTATCAAGCAAATAGGGCAAATTACAAGTATACAGAGGGTTTCAGCATTCATGGCCACGTTTATTTCTCCTTCCTGCCTTCTCACCTCTCTCTTCTCTTTCTTTTGCCTGCTTAACTGACCAGCTCAAGGCTTCTTATTCTATATATCCTTCATCTTTGGGGGAGCAAGTTATTTTCTAACTGGCTTAAGTATATCCTTCAGTGATCAGCCAAAATTCTTCTTTTTGCATCCAAAGGAAGAAACTTTATTCTATATCCACCCTAGATTTTTCTCTTAGACTCTTAACTGTAGTAAACTCCTTTCTCCTCCTGTAAGAATCAGGTCCCTTCAAAAACCCTGCTTAACAGACAACAACAAAACAACAATAACAACTTCCAGAACAAATAATAATATATATTTTTTAATTATAATGAAAGTTTCAACTCAGGCTTTAAAATCTTCATGTTGTATGTCAATCATCTGGTGTCACTTATTTCTTTTCCAACCTAGTCTTTCCCCAATATCTATTATTATCAATGCTGCTTTCCTCTACAGTGTCATGTTAAAGGTATCAACCCTCCAGACAAGACTCTACCTTATCCCATAGAGGCCACTTCTAAATGCATATCTGCACACTGATAGTCACTTCTTGTTATTTATATTACTATAACTATTTACATCCAGAAAATCCAATTGGAGTTTAAATACAATGTTCCTGACCAACATGAACTTCTCCCAAATCCAGTCATGAGTTTAAGGAAGCGGGTAGTACAAATGGTGCTATACTGTTTTCTCCATTCTCATGCTCATTTCAGAATTAGGCCACTTAGGAATTCCTATTCCATCATTTCTCCTGCTGACTTCGGGGATTATTCATGAGTCCATCTTGAAACTTACATTCTACTACTGTGTACATTATCTGGGGTCCTTCTCTGACTGCATTATTTTGACACTTTTTAATATAAACCTTTATTGAGTATATACTACATATCAAGAACTTTTCATGCATCTTCTGATTTAATTCTCAAGATAACCTTATGAGGCAAGTGTGATTATTAGCCCCATTTTAAAAATGAGGACACTAAGTCTCAAAGACCCAGTTAGTAAATGGTGGAAACAGAATTTCTAAAACTGATCCTGAAAGCCTAAAATTCATCCCATCAATGACACTCTGCTGTCTCTTCCTAAATCCTCTAGCTTTTTCTCTGTTAGCCCATTATTCCGCATTTTCATACAGCTTTTTGCCACTCCGACAACTCTGCCTGGAGGTCCTTCTGCCATCTGCATATCAGCTTGGATTAGACTGAACTATTGACTTGCCAGGGCCTGTAAGTTTAATAATAACAAAGTGGCTACACCACACACTCTTCATTTTGGCCGTCTCATCCCTTAAGGCTGGGAAGGCTAAATGGAATTATAAATAATATCAGCTGTGATGAAAGTCAAACTGTAGCTATCAGGTTCTCCACAGTCTGCTTTTTTGATGACAATAGCTATCAATAATTAAAGGTTAATAATGTATCAGACATTATGCTAAGCTTTTGCATTAGATCATTTGATCCTTACATCAACCCTAAGAGGATGACACCATTATTGTTCCCATTGTATTATACGAACAAGAAAATAGATTAGAAGACTTCCAGTAAACAGTCCACATCATACAGTGAACACATGGCAGACCCATATTTTGAATCCATGTCTGCCCAAATTCAGAACCTCCTTTCTTAACCACCATATTACTCCATTCTTGCATTGCTATAAAGAACTGAGGCTGGGTAATTTGTAAAGAAAAGAGGTTTAATTGATTGAAAGTTCCATAGGCTGCACAGGAAGCATGACTGGGGAGGCCTCAGGAGACTTACAATCATGGCAGAAGGCAAAGGGGAAGCAGTCATATCTTCACATGGTGGAGCAGGAAAGAGAGAGGGCAAAGGGGGAAGTGCTACACATTTTTAAACAACCAGATCTCCTGAGAATGTGGTCACCATCACAAGAACAGCAAGGGGGAAGCGGTGTGCCCCCATGATTCAATCACCGCCAACCAGGGCCCTCCTCCAACATTGGGGATTACAACTGGACATGAGATTTGGGTGGGGACACAGAACCAAACCCTATCAACTACTAATGTACAATGCTTTGTTTTTAAAATAATATTGCTGATATCATATTATAATAGGAGAAACCCATGGGGAAAATAATATCCTCAAATTCAATATTTTCATTTATATTATCCAATACATGACCATGTACATATTCAATTTTACCTATTTACATTAAGTAACATTATGGATAGAATTATACTTTTTCTATATTTTCTATTAACATTTAATGCAGGATGTAACTCTCTGGCAATAAATTTGAAAACCTGAACAAAATAGATGATTTCCTAGCAACATATCAATTACCAAAATTGACCCAATAAGAAGGGAAAATTTGAATAGGCTAATTATCATAGAAGGGATAACAAAAAGCACTAGGATTAGGTGGATTTCCAGCTGAGTTTATCCAATCTTTAAATAATAGATAATTCTAATGTTATAAACTAGTCATAGATAATAAGATGGGCATTTATCTAATTCATTTATGTGTACAGTTTAGTACCAAAACATAATAAAGATGCAACAGAAAACTACTGTACAATCTCAGTTCAAATGGAATATTAGAAAATTGATCCTGCACAGTTATTAGAAGAATAATATACTATGACCAAGTAAGGCTTATTCCAGGAAAAGCAGGGTGGTTAATATCAGGAAATTTATTTACATAATACATCATGTTAAGAAAATAAAGAAGAATAAAATGTGCAAATGCTGAAGTGATGTTAGATTAAATTTATTATTCTTTTAAATACATTTTAAGTAAAAAATGAAGGAGTTAAACAAATAAAATAAAATGACCAAAGGTAACAGAAAATATTATCCTAAATGGGCAATATTTAACACTCAAAATAAAATAAAAAGTCAGATGAATATCCTCAATAACCCTTATAATTTAACACTAACTTGGAGGTTCTAAAAATGCAAAGACTCAAGTACATAATACTGCAAAAGAAGAGCTTAAATCATTTTATAATAACATTTTTTGCCCAAAAATTCCAGGACTGAAAAAATTAGAATTTATAATAGGATTTATAAGTTAGGGATAACCACCTTTACATATAAATGAGAAGAAAATATTCATCAAAGTAGAAAAAATAAATTATAAAGAACTTAAAAAAATATATAGAAGTGGTATAGGATGTTGATGATAAAGATATAGAAAATGAAAAGGCATGCCTTTTTGTTTTGTTTTGTTTTTTGAGATGGAGTCTCGCTCTGTTGCCCAGCCTCCATTGCAATGGCGCGATCTCAGCTCACTGCAACCTCTGCCTCCCGGGTTCAAGTGATTCTCCTGCCTCAGCCTCCCAAGTAGCTGGGATTACAGGCACCCACCACCACACCCAGCTAATTTTTGTATTTTTAGAAGAGACGAAGTTTCACCAGGTTGGCCAGGCTGGTCTTGAACTCCTGACGTCAGTTGATCCACCCACGTTGACCTCCCAAAGTGCTGGGATTACAGGTGTGAGCCAAAGTGCTGGGATTACAGCATGAGCCACCACTCCCAGCCAAAGGCATGCCATTTCTTTGGATAGCAGACTTGAGATCACAAAATATAAAATCTTTCTAAATTAACAAATATAAGAATATTTTGGTTAAAGCCCAAGAGAGTGCTTTTTATGATTACATAAAGTGGCATTTAAAGTTTTCATAAAAAGAAATAACTTTTAGATAATAGCCAAACAGTATTTAGTAAATAGAAAGAAAGAATGGCAAGACATTCGTCATGCCAGGATTCAAACTATTCTAAAACTATTGTAATTGAACCAATAGGTCATTAGCCAGAAGAGACAGTGAGATTAAGAGAACTGAATAGAAAATCCACAAATATATACTGATACATATAAACATTTGTTTGGTATTTCAGTTCAGCTGGAAGAGAATACACTTTTTGTTGTTGTTGTTGTTGCCTATGGAGTCTCGCTCTGTCGCCCAGGCCGGAGTGCAGTGGTGTGATCTCTGCTCACTGCAACCTCCACCTCCCAGGGTCAAGCAATTCTCCTGCCTCAGCCTCCTGAGTATCTGAGATTACAGGTGTCCACCACCACACCCAGCTAATTTTTGTATTTTTTTTTAATAGAGATGGGGTTTCACCATGTTAGTCAGGCTGGTCTCAAATTCCTGACACAAGGGATCCGCCTGCTTCGGCCTCCCAAAGTAAGAGAATACACTTTTCAATATATGATGTCGGGGCACTCGCTACTCATATGGAAAATAATTATATTGGACATGATTTTCTACAATATATGAAATTATTTCCCAAGTAGACTAAAGATTTACATGTAAAATAATGAAGCAATAAAACATTTAGAGACTATCCTGAAGACAATATGTATAAGCCAAGGGCAGAAAAATGTTGTAATCCAGGATAGAAAATCCAAAGCTATAAAATAAAACATAGGTACATTTTACTACTGTCTTAGTCCATTTGGGCTGCTATACCAAAATTCCTCAGACTGGATAACTTATAAATAACAGAAATTTATTGCTCACAGTTCTGGAGACTGAGAAGTCCAAGATCAAGTTGCCATCAAATTAAGTGTCTGGTGAGGGCTCTGACGTCATAGACAACATCTTCCTGCTGCATCCTTACATAATAGAAAGGGGTGAGTTGAACTCCCTCAGGCTTCTTTCATAAGGGTACTGATCCTGTTCACAAAGGCTCCACCTTCATGATCTAGGCACCTTCCAAAGTTTCCATCCCTTAATACCTACATACTGGGGATTTAGATTTCAAAATATGTATTTTTGAGGTACACAAACATTCAAACCAGAGCAACTATGTAAAAATTGATTATTTTGAGTGACAATCATATCATAAAGTAAACAGGTAACTATGAGATTTGGGGGGAAAGTCAAGACTCTTCTCTAACTGACACAAATGAGTAAAGCAACTTGTGAATATTCATTAAAATTTTACCAAAGAGCAAAACCCCAAAAGCCAATAAACTTATGAAGATATATGAAAACTCATTGGTAGGCAGGAAAATATAAATGTAAGCTACTAGCTTATTTTACAAGGATAAGACAAAAACAAAATCAAGAAATAAACTGTTATAATTTGGTTTATTTACCCCTCCAAATCTTATGTTGAAATTTGATCCCCAGTATTGGAGATGGGACTTAATGGGAGGTTTTTGGGTCATGGGGGGCAAATCCCTTATAAACAGATTAATGCACTCCCTAGGATGGGGGATGGCGAGTGAGTTCTCGCTCTATTAGCTCCCACCAGAGCTGGATGTTAAAAAGCACCTGGCACCTCTCCTTTCCTGCTTCCTCTCTCACCATATGATCTCTGCACAGCCAGTTTTCCTTTGCCTTCCACCATGAGTGGAAGCAGCTGGAGGTCCTCACCCAAAGCAGACGCTGGTGCCATGCTTCCTGCACAACCTGCAGGACCATAAGCCAAATAAACCTTTTTCAAAACAAATTACCAGGTCTTCCTCAGGTATTCCTTTAAAGCAACAGATATAACCTAAGACATAACCATTTGGGGGCATGATCTAGGAAAAGGATAAAAATGAGAAATCCTGTAAACCAAAATCAATGTTTTTGTATACAGGAATAGTTGATTACTGTACATTCACACCACGCAGCATTAAAAAAATAATAAATTAATGTTAGTCCAGTTGACTAGGATTTTATTATCTGAGGAACTAAAGATTCAAAAAAAGCAAACGTAAAATAATTTTTTAAAAGAACAAAGGCCAAAAAACTCTATATATGTATAAAATCATAACACGATAATCATGGAGAAATATATAAAAATATTTCCAGAATGCTTTTAACAAGCACTGAGAGAGTATGTGAAGCAGGGAATCTTATTGGCTGAGGTGCAGAAAGAAGATATGTGAAAAAGAGAATAAAAGACTGTACTAAAAATGGTACGTATGCTAAGTTCAGGATTTATATTTTTGTAAAAACTATGCCTGTGGGCATATGTATAAAAATTATTTTTAAATGCTAAAATGTAAAAAGAAGATTATTTTCTAAATAAATTTTGCTATCATTTCCATGCAGTATATGTGTCTTATCTCATTTCCTTTCTTCTTTTAGATTTCTCCTCCTAAAAATGTTTAAAATATTGACAGCCTTGTATGTGTCTTTACTCTTCTTTACCAGATTGTTATTTATTACAGTAAAAGTAGAAGAAAATAAAAACTATAATTTTACAGGTTATCATCATTTACATTATGAAATTGCTCGTGTCCTTGGGTCATGTTGATTTAGTGCTATTACTCTTCCTGGCACTAGAAATCTTTCCTACTACAATCTCAGGGGTTCTCAGTTTTCAGAGATGGCACTACAATGTATGTGGATGAGTAATTAAGAATGAGTTACATATCAGTATCAAAACTCACAATTTGCCAATCCTCAGTCTTGGGCTGATTCCTGCCTAACTAAAAAGGAGGATTTTGTGTGTTAAAAGCCAGTGGGCCAGTCCTGGAGTCACACCAAGAGAGATTCTTTACACACCATCCTCTTTGTGAGTGGAAGGGCATCAGGCCCCCAAAATAACTGTTGACCAGTGAGATGACTTGTGACAGGCCAGTGGTAGTTCTAACACCCTGTCTATCTTCTGAAAATGAAGCAAGAAGATAGTAAACACACTGTGCTTCCACTGCACCAGCAACCGGACTAAGCCTTTTACTTACATTGATTCACTGAGTCCTCTTGTCAGGTAAGGATGATTTTAATCTGCATTTACAGATGAAGTAAGGAGAGGTTATTTCATCCTTCCCTGGATCATGGGAATCATACATTGCAGAGCTGAGCTTCAAACTGTCTTAAAACTTAGGTATCCAGGCACTTAAACACTAACCCATGCCACTGCTCAATCCAAAGAAACAATGAAACGAGGCAATTCAAGTTAAAAAGATATTTAATTTCAGATATGTGAACTTATTAATGTCCAGCAGCAACATCACCTGAACAGCTAAACACTGTGATGCAGGTACACATTTACTTACCTGAGCAGATTAAGAAAGATGAGAAATTTGCTTTGTTTGAGGGAATGGAGGCTTTGTACAATTTTTATTTATTTTTGACACTCACGCGTTCAATGCCAATTTTTATTTATTTTTGACACTCATACATTCAATGCCACTTTCATTGTTTTCCCCCAATCCTATATTTGATATGAAATTTATTTTGTCAGTTGCAGTTTTGCCAGCCATGGTGTTTCTTAAGATTTGGCTAGAGATTCCTGCACTGAGATTTCCCCAAAGTTAATGTGTAAGTACTGATAGGGAAGGAGGTAATTCACTTGGCTGATGACAGGCTGTGAGGGGCTCCAGGGGAGAGTGCTGGAAATTGAAGGGAGAACTGAAGGTATACAATCCCCACCTGGTGATCACTACCTTGGGCCCAGCACAGAAATGCAACATAACTTTCTCCTGGGAAGTATCCCTTGTGGTCCTCACACCCAACCCTCAGAAAAGCCTTTAGCACGCACACCAACATGGCACATGCATACATATGTAACAAACCTGCACGTTGTGCACATGTACCCTAAAACTTAAAGTATAATAATAATAATAATAATAATAATAATAATAATAATAAAATGATACTGAGTTTTCACTGAGGATTTCATAAGGGACATAGGATAGATTTTTTTTTTATAATACCTAACAGACAGCATTTTACTTTTAAATAAATCACCCCTCCAATGTGTCTCTTCTTTACCAATTTATTCTCTTACCTGTTGCTGGGTCTCTCACGTGTCTGGGAACCTTCTCCCACTAGCCAGCCTCCAGCCTCTTCCATCCTTCAGAAACTTATTTCCACTGTGCTTCTCATTACTTTCACAGACCCAACATTTCAGCTCTGAGGAAAATAAGTCATTACACAAAGGTTGGCTTTCAGCTCAAAACAAAACAAAGGATTCCCACACTATCCAATTCCATTCTCCTTAAAAAATGGCAGGGCAAAATCTAATTTTTCTCTACTACAAATTTATTTATTTGTTGGCACATATTTTTCTATCTAAGAAGTATTCCTTCATATATGCTCAATTGATTGAAAAATGAATTCTGTGTACAAGTCTTCCACTGTTAGTGAAATTTCTTTTAAAAAGCCCCAAGTTTTCCAAAGTGGAATTGTCTCAAGGATGGGCTTTAATTATGCCAGGGCCCTTGTGAGGTCTAGTCCTGATTACTATGCAAAAAGTGTGTCTTAAATAAGTGAATCACATTTGGCACCACCAAGCTAATCATAGTATAGGCTTTCACTTCCCTTTATCCTGGGAAACGTGACCTGATCTCAAAGAAAAGTTCTAGGTATGTTTTAAGTAATAACTACATTATTGCAATGAGTGTGGAGCCTCAGGTAAAAGTCTTGGCACACACACGCAAATTTAGATATACAGATTCTTTGTGTTTCTTAATAATACAATCAGTCCTTCTAAATTATGGTCAAGTTGCATACATTGCACATTCCCTATGAGCAGTGAAATTAAAGAAGAGGTGAAATACATGGTCATTTGCTGTTAGGAATTTATAACAGAGCAGAATAAAGAGTATAAAAGCATGCATAATTACTCCAAGGAACAGAAAAAAAAAATCATAAAAAAATTCACAACCAATTAGAGGTCTGCATACATGCTAATTGCCGCCTGCTAGGGGTGTCCCATCAAGAATGGCAGGCTTGTCCCTGTGAATAGGAGAAGTGTGAATGAGTGAGCATGTTGGTTCTGAAGTAAAAAAAAATTCTTATGTCACAGGTTCAAATTCTCCAGGCTTATGAATATGACACATTAATATTCATTAAGTGGAACACATTATCATTTTAGAAGGAGATTACTGGGGACTCACTATTTTCATTCCATCACATTTTCCAATTAGGAGTCCCACTTTTGCAAATAATCAGCTTTCTGTTGCCAAGGGCTTTTCAGTTGCTTTCTGGCAAGGGGGTTTGGAGCTAAGTTCAACATTCATTTAAGAAACAGGAAAAACCTGAAGTACAATTATCTTTTTTAATGACAGGTTAATCTTGCTGTAGTGAACCTGATCAGAGAAGAGCCAAACTCTAAAGGGAGGAAGCACAGAGTCCTTCTGGGGGAGGGGAACTCAGACAATAAAGTTTGAGAAAGAGTTCACAGTTTTCTTGGTTGCCTGCAATCATTGAGAAATAAATGCACTCTGCAAAAGATCTTGAAACTGAGCAAGGAGAAGTGCCCACATAAGGGGAAACTCCAGTGATGTGGAAGTGAGCACAAGGGCAAGGTAATATCCATCCCTGAAGGCTACCAACAGGGCAGAGAAGGAAATAATCAAAACATATCGGCATTTCCTCTAGGTTAACAATTTAGTTCTAAAGTCAGACACCTTTGCTAAGGTTTATAATATCATTAATGACTTAACCAGAAAAAACAGTAGACAAAGACTGGTTTGATTTTGAAAACTATCAGATAAGTTTGATAAATTCAAGTTCAATCACCATTAATCTCTAATCAAAGCAGAATTTCTAAATGAAGTCACTTAATGTTTATTTAAATTATATATTCATGATTTATTAAGAGATTGCTAAGATTCTTATTTGAATGAAAATAAAAAAACTCACTTGTTCTGCCCTTTTATATTTATGAAGAATTGCATATACCTGGCAAAACAAAACATATGCTAAAAAAAAAGATATAAGGAAAGATGAGTTTCTCTTCATAATAGCCCACCAGTTCTTTATTCTCCTTCCCAGAAGTAGCTACTTCACTAGTTTCTTGGCTCTTTTTTCAGAAATCGTCTATGCTGAGATGTTCTTGTTTCTGCCTCCATACTTAGAAGCATGCTCTATGCACGCCACTTTTGCAATTTTACTAAAAATCTATTCTGGATACAACTTTATATGAACACCTGTAATTTAACTCACTGCAGAGGAAACAAACTTCACAAAAATAATACAGTCAGTCACTAAACAAATAACTAAATAACAATAACAAGCCCCAAAGGGGATTGGGAGCAAGGACCTGAAGTTTCTATATTATCCAAAATGTCCATTTTTTTTGTTTGTTTTTTGCAGATCATATTGGGGCAGAAAATAAAAATAAAGTAAATAAAATGTCCAGTTTCTAACAAAAAATTATAAGCAGGCAAAGAAGCATGAAATTCTGACCCAATGACAGGAAAATATAAGCAGGTAACAAAAGCAGAGTAAGTAGATGTCAGACATAGCAGACAAAGGCTTCAAAGTAGCCATTATAAATATGTTCAAAGAACTAAAGGAAACCATGATTAAAGATGTTAAAGAAGGTATGATGACAGTGTATCATAAATAATATTAATAAAAAGAAATTATTAAAAAAGGAAATGGAAATTCTGGAATTAAAAATACAATAACTAAAAAGATAAATTCACTACAGATGCTCAAAAGCATATTTGAATTGCCAGAAGGAAAAAATTAGTGAACTTGAAGATAAATCTATAGATATTAAACACCCTGAAGAACAGAGAGAAAAAAGAATGAAGAAAAATAAACAGAGCCTCAGAGAAATGCTGAAAAATCTTATGTGCAGCAACATACACCTACTGGGAGGACATCTTTCATAAATGAAGTAAAAATAAGACATTCCCAGACCAACAAAAACTGAGAGAATTTGTTGCTTAACAGACCAACCTTACAAGAAAAACTACAAAAGTTCTTTAAGATGAAATGACAGAAATAAATTGGGAAACTCACAAATATGTGGAAATTAAACAACACACTCCTAACATAACCACTGATTAAAAGAATAAACCACAAAAGAAATGAGAAATAGTTTTAGTTGAATGAAACACAACATACCAAAAATTATGAGATGCAGCAAAAGTAGTGTTCAGAAGGAAATTTATAGCTATAAACACCTATATTAAAGAAGATCACAAATCAATAACCCCATCTTCTACCTAAGATACTAGAAAAAGAAAAATGAACTATATCTCAAAGCCAAAATAAGAAAGAAAACAGTAAAAATAAGAGTGGATATAAATAAAATGGAGAATTAAAGAAGAGTGGATAAGATTAATGAAACTAAGTTTCTTCTCTGAAAAGTTTAACTAAATTGGTAAATCTTTAAGGAGATTTACAGAGAGAGAAAGAGAAGGACTCAGATTACTAAAAGCAGAAATAATAGAGGGAGCATTACTACCAACCTTATAGAAATAAAAAATATTTAAGACAATACTATGAACAACTACACATCAACAAATTAGATAACCTAGATGAAATAGACCAAATCCTAGAAAGACAGAAACTATTCAAATTAGTTCAAGAATAATTAGAAAATATGAATAGACCTATAAAAAGTAAAAAGATTGAATGTGTAATCAAAAACTACGCTGAGGCTGGGTGTGGTGGCTCACACTTGTAATCCCAGCACTTTGGAAAGCTGAGATAGGAGGATCGCTTGAAGCCAGGAGTTTGAGATCTGCCTGGGCAACATACTAAAACCCTGTATTACAGAACTAAAAATAAAAATTAGGCATGAATGGTGGTGTGGGCACCTGTAGTCTCAGCTACACAGGAGGCTAAGGCAGGAGAATTCCTTTAGCCCAGGAATTTGAGACTACAGTGAGCTATGATCCTGTCCCTTCACTTTAGTCTGGGTAACAGAGCAAGACCCTGTTTAAAAAAAAAAAAAAAGAAAGAAAGAAAGAAAAGAAAGGAAAGAAAGAAAAGGAAAGAATGAAAGGAAATAAAGAAAGGAAATAAAGGAAAGAAAGACAACTCACAAAGAGAGGCCCTGGTTCAGGTAGTTGCTCTGGTGAATTCTACCTAAATTTTTTAGAAGAATTAATATCAATTCTTCAAACTCTTTTTTTAAAAATATTAGAAGAGGAGAAACAGTTTCCAACTATTTCTGAGGTCAGTATTACAGTGATACTAAAATCAGGCAAAGACATTACAAGAAAGCTACAGACTGATATATATTATTAATATAGACATAAAAATTCTCAACAAAATACTACGAAATCAAATCCAGCAACATTAAAAAAAGATTATAGAGCATGCACAAGTGCAATGTGTTCCAAGAATGCAAGATTGGTTTAAAACCCAGAAATTAATTAATATAATACACAATAGCAATATAATAAAATATTTTTTAAAACATATGATTATCTCTATAGATGCAGAAAAGAAATTTGACCAAATCCAACAGCCTTTCATAATAAAACACTCAATGAAGTAGAAGGGAGCTTCCTCAGCCTGAGAAAGTATATCTATGAAAATCCATAAATAATATCATGCATAATGGTAAAAGAATGAATGTTTTCACTCTAAGATTAGGAAGAAGAAAAAGATATGTACTCTCACCCTTCTATCTAACATTTTAGTAAAAATTCTAGCCAGGCAATGAAACAAGAAGATGAAATACTAGACAGCTAAATTTGAAAGGAAAAAGTAACATTATCTCTACTTGCACATAACATTCATTATTTATCTATATATATACATTTTTTCATAAACAATTATGTGAAAACCCAATGAATCAACTAAAATCTATCAGAACTAATAAAAGAGTTTGGCAAGATGGTAGAATATAAAATCAGTGAATCAAAATCAATTGTTAATACACAATAAACAATCCTAAAATTAAAATTAATAATTCTATTTGTAATAGCATAAAAAAACTAAACAGTAATAAATTTATTAAAGTATAAAAATTACACTCTGACAAAATCAAACATTAATCAGAAAAAGTAAAAAGATCTAAATAAATGGAAAGACATTCATGTTCATAAATTACAAGACAATGATTGAAATAGTAATATTTCCAAATTAATTTGCATATTGTACACAACTTCTATCTCAATTCCAGTTCATTTCTATGTAGAAATTTACAAGATGACCCCCAAATTCATATAGAAACTCAAGACCTCAGATTAATCAAAGCAATCTTAACAAAGAAAAAAAATGGAGGATTCACACTTTCTAATTTCAAAATATACTACAAAGTGACAGTAATCAACACAGTATGGTTCTAGCATAAGGAAAAACATATGGATCAATGGAATAGAATTGAAAATTCAGAAGTAAACCCATATTATCCAAGGTCAATTGATTTTCAACAATGGTGCCAAGGCTATTCAATGAAAAATGAATAGTGTGTTTAATAAACAGCTCTGAGCCAACTGGATTGCATATGGAAAATAATAATTTTCATCCTTACCCCACTTTGTATACAAAAATGGACTCAAAATGGATCAAAGACCTAAATAGAAAAGCTAAAGTTATAAAATGTTAGAAGAAAGCACAGAAGTAAGTTCTCATGACCTTTAATTTGGCAATGGATTCTTAGACATGACACCAAAGCACAAGCAAAAAGAGAAAAAAAAAATAGATAAATTCAATTCCTTCAAACTTAAAGAAAAAACTTTTTGCTTCAAAGGACACTACTAAGAAAGTGAATAACAACCCACAGAACAGGAAAACAGTATTTTCAAATCAAATCATATATCTGATAAGAAACTAGCATTAGAATATGTAAAGAACTCCTACAAATTAATTATTAAAATGACAAACAACTCAAATAAATTGGGCAAAAGGTCTCCACAGACATTTCTCTAAAGAAAATATACAAATGACCAATAAATACATGAAAATGTGCTCAACATCATCAGTCATCAAGGAAATACAAATCAAAATCACGATGAGATTCCACTTCATACCCACTAGGATGGTTCTAATAAAAGAGATGGATAATAACTAGTGTTGGTTAGTATGTGGAGAAGTTAGATCCCGCATTAATTGCTGGTGGAAATGTAAAATTGTGTAGACATTCTGGAAGAGACTGACAGTGCCTCAAAAAGTTAAACATAAAGCTTCCACTTGACTCAGCAATTCCACCCCCAGGTATACACCCAAGAGAAATTAAGACATACATCCATACAAAACCTTGTAAATAAATGTTTCTGTCAGCATTATTTATAATAACCAAAAGATGGAAACAACCCACAGGTCCCTAAATCCATGAATGGATAAACATAATATGGTATATCCATGAAATTAAATATTCTTTAGCCATAAAAAGGAAGAAAGTCCTGATAAATACTACAACATTCATGAACCTTTAAAAATGTATACTAAGTGAAAGAAGCCAATTACGCCAATAAATTAACACAAAGAAGCCAATGTGTGAAAAAAGACGACACATTGTTTGATTCTATTTATACAAAATGTCTTGAATAGGCAAATCTATAGAAACAAAGTATATTAATGGTTGCCTAGGACTGGGGCAGTTGGGGGAGGAGGAAGAAGAGGATGGAAACTCACTACAAATGGGTGTGGGGTTTCTTTTTGGGGTGACAAAAATGTCCTAAAATTGACTAATGTGATGGTTTCAGAATTTTGGGAATATACTAAAAAAATTGAATTATATATTTAAATCTGTGAATTGTATGGTATATAAATTATATCCCAGTATATATTTTATTAAAATATATAGGCAACTTTTCACCAAAACTTTTCTTCTTTGATCTATATTTGGATTTCTAGGGAAGACATAAAATTATCAATTTCTTAAAAGAGAAAAATGTTATTATTTTCACCTAGACATGGAACCAGTTGTAGTTCTTGCCAAAAGATTTAAAATAAAATTTAA
Source organism: Homo sapiens (assembly GCF_000001405.40). Lineage (NCBI taxonomy): Eukaryota > Metazoa > Chordata > Mammalia > Primates > Hominidae > Homo > Homo sapiens. The sequence goes on from NC_000015.10 coordinate 87,439,979, forward strand.
GAGATCTTTCTGTTGGTTTTTAAGTTCAATATTGTGAACAAAGCTCACATTTGTGGATAAAGTATTCCCCCGACCCCAATTGTTATCTCTCAATGAGACCTACACATAAATACTAAGCAGACTGAGGATACAATTTTAAATTAGATAGCTGACTATTTATTTTAGGCAGAGCCTAAATGAATACAACACAAAGAAAGAATTACAACTATTTACACAGAATCTATCAAAGTTTCATTGGATAATTAAGAGTTTGCCTACACCACTGGAGGGAATGCTGATTAATAGAATCATGGAAAATTAGAGTATGGAGAAACTCTAGGGATCATCTAGTCCAAATGATTAATTGTAGAAAATGAGGATACTGAAACCCAGAAAGGGGAAATGTTCTGCTCAAGGTCATGTGAGCAAAGCAAGGCCACATTTTCAGACTTATTTTTTTCTGAGCTAGTTACATAGCTACAGACAAGAGGAGTTCAAAATTATGTTGATTGGCAGGGAACATCACACACCAGGTCCTGTCATGGGGTGAGGGGAGGAGGGAGGGATAGCATTAGGAGAAATACCTAATGTAAATGAGGAGTTAATGGGTGCAGCACACCAACATGGCACATGTAGACATATGTAACAAACTTGCATGTTGTGCACGTGTACCCTAGAACTTGAAGTATAACCAAAAAACAAACAAACAAACAACAACAACAAAAAAGCAGGCTTTTGTGAAGGGACTGTAGACTATTTCAAGATGCAGAAAATCTAACTTCAAATAAAAATCATTTGTACCTTTAAAGTATTGATCCAGTATTAACAGTGGCTAAGCATTTAAGATGTGATTATGCTCTACATAGAATATTTCCGTTAATGTCCATGCAGAGGAAATAGAAAGGAAAAGAAACCTTGTATGAGTGACTTTGGCACAAGAGACAGTTGAAAAGGAACCTGGAATGTTTAGAAAAACTATGAATTCAGAAAGGAGGAAGAGGAGAAACTCAAGGAAGCTGACCAGAACTTGATTCTAAATGATTCTAATTATTAAAAAGGTCACCCTTATATTGATTAAAAGAGTTGCTTTCCTGAAATTGTAGACCATTAATCCTAGTCTTTTCTCTGGATCAGATGAGAATAAGTTTGCTTCTTCTTCAACAGAACAGTATTTCATATCTAAATAAAATGTTCATATATTCCTTTAATGATCTTTTCTCCGAATCAATCATCCTCAGGTCTGTCAGTAAATTCTTATGTAACAATGCTCTCAGAACATCCAAGCCTCAGCCATGTTTCTGTGATGTTCTCATCCGATATCATGATTTATAGGTGTTCAGAGTAAATTTTAGCCAAAATATTCCACCCTCTAATCTAGTTAAATTTTACCTTCAGGTTTTTCACCATCTCTGTAATATTAAGTAATTGTAATACCTGTATAATTACTTAATATTTTAAATTCATTTCACTTTTTCTACTAAGTAGTGATATACATAAATTCAGTTATGATTTTGATGGGCTTATGATGGTTTTTCTCTAGTAAATAAAGTAAAATATGTAGGAAGACTAAATGTACTGTTGGTGTACAATCTAAAGTCAATTTATATATCACCAGCTTATTTCATTCTGTGCTTTTGGAAGCTCTAGTCAACTGAAAGTTCCTCTGAGATTATTCTCCATCCTCCCATCTTTATATAAGCTTATTAAAATGAATTAGAACAAATTGCTCATATTTATTAACTGGATTATTGGCAGTGACAATAACCCATTAAGTCTGAATTATCTTGGGAATAAAACAGTATGTATCTGGAGGTTGTGTGCTGGAGCCCACATGTCAGAAATGACAAAAAAAAAAAAAAAAAAAATGGGGAAAAAGAGAATCTAGAGACAGTGAGTTCATGAGGGCAGGACCTTATCTCTGTGATGTTATTCACAGTACCCTAAACGCTGACCATTGCTCTTGGCATAGAATCCATGCCCACTTTACATTTAGTTTAACCATTAACTCTCACTCCATTAAGGTAAATATCATTGTTTTTTTAGGATTTACTTATTTGTTCAAAGATACATTACTAACAAGTGCCAAACTTGACTCAACATCAGCTCTGTCTGACTCCAAAGCTCTGAGTCTTTCCCCAGCTACAAAGAGTGTCCAAGTCCAACCTTTGTCTATGTGGATTAAGAACACTCCTAATCCTTTTTCCTATTGGCAACAGAGAGACACCAGTAGATTCAAAGTTGTAGCCTGGAGAGGCTTTGAGTCCAGGCATCAATATGCTCATCCACCATTTCTGTTGCATGAGAAAGACTATGATTCTACCTAAAATTGTGATTACTTGCAGTTAAGCCAAACTCAAGTTTTGACTAGAAATAGACTGGTTCACGCTGGGCGCGGTGGCTCACGCCTGTAATCCCAGCACTTTGGGAGGCCGAGGAGGGCGGATCACGAGGTCAGGAGATCAAGACCATCCTGGCTAACACAGTGAAAACCTGTCTCTACTAAAAATGCAAAAAAAAATTAGCCGGGTGTGGTGGTGGGCGCCTATAATCCCAGCTACTCCGGAGGCTGAGGTAGGAGAATGGCGTGAACCCGGGAAGCAGAGCTTGCAGTGAGCCAAGATCGTGCCACTGCACTCCAGCCTGGACGACAGAGACTCCATCTCAAAAAAAAAAAAAAAAAAAAGAGAAATAGACTGGTTCAGTACAGCAAAATAGAAAGGTGTTTTTCATCTTCATTGAATGAACTTAAAAAAAAAATTCAACTCCTAACTCACCTTAACAGTATAAATCTGTAATTGGCATAAACTGTTAATTAATTTAATTTAAGCAGAATGTTACGTTGTTGTTTGAACAAATTAAAGTATGCATACTAGTGAGAAGGGAAGAGGGAAAGGAAGAATGAAAAGATAGAGGGAAGGAGTTGGAGGGAGGCTAAAAGCAGGAGACTAGACAAGAAAACACTTCCGAAGGACCCCTCAGCCACCGAGGCCTCATTGTCTTCCTCCTGGAAGCTCTGCACATTTATGGTGCTACCCAGACACCACCAGCTATTTATTCCTGAGTTTATGATCACATTATAGTGTGACTACAATTGATGCTTGTATAGCATTTTAGGGTTCTCAAGATGTTTTCACAACATATGATCCTCATGGAAATCCTGTGACACAGGGTAGAACAAGAATTATGTTCTTTGCTTTCAGACATGAAACCGGAGTCTTAGACCAAGTCACTTACACACACACTCATGCATGCACACACATGCACACACATAAAAGTGGTAAGCCCAGAAGAAAAATTACTTAAACAGGCTGACTCCAGATTCACTATTCTTACCACTTCACCATGAAAACTTCTCTGCTTTAAGGAATTATTTTGGTACTAGTAGTTCATTCAGACTTCAACCAATATGAATAAGGAAGTACAATGTTCCAAGGTTACTGTAACAAAAAGGACAAAATTGTTGTTCTATTACATGCTAGTGTGAAAAGAGAAACAATAAACAAAGATCAAATCAATAAATAATAAGTCAGAAATTATTAGTATTATGAAGGAAAAGGAAAGAAAAAGCCCAGGTAAGGGTGATAAGGAAAGCAGGGGGCTGGAGAAAGGTGCCATTTTACATATTTAGAAATAGAATATATTTTATATATTGATAGAATTCCATCCATTTAATATCAGTTGAGGAAAGGACATAGAAATGTCATCTTTAAGTATTACTTGCTTAGTGAAACGAATTCACACCGACTGCGTAGAGTCAGGGATTGTTAAGATCCTTATGTCCTGGTATATGCAAAAGGGGTGTATATTCAGAGTGAATCATAGTTCAGATTCTGAACAAATCCTAACTCAGTGCTCCAGAAAAACCCATTGCCTACCCTGTACTTTGTTCATCAAGCCTGGAAGAGTGCATTAAAGATATGGGATATCCCTGGAAACTAAGACTATGTCTAGACAGAGCTTCCAGAGAAAAATAAATAATACATAAAAGACGTGCTTGTCATAAGAACAGTAGATGTGGGATTCTAGAATACACTGAGGTTTACATTACCACCACGGCTCAATGTATCATTTGTCACTTTTCAGGGGAAGGCAGGTGTCAAGGGGGTGACAGATTAAGGGCCTGGTGAAAGCCCTCCAGCTGACCAACCTCATTACCTTCAGCCCACATGTAGCTATCCATCAGTGTTCTGAAGCAGGCACCTTGGAGCCTCTGAGATGGCTCATTCAGATCCCCTTCCTTTGGTCATCCTAGAGCAAGTCATGTTGAAGTCTTCATATTCTCAAAAAAAGAAGTAGAGGGGCTATTTATAAGCCCTCCTGATATATCATAAAAATTCAACAAATTAAATAATGTGGACAAAAGAAAGGAAAGGAAAAGATCTCTCTTTAGTTGCATTCAGCATATATTTATCAAGAGCCTACTTAACTCTTAAGTCCCTACGATGTGCTAAATCTTCATCTAGCTATTTTTCATGGGCCTTCTCTATCTTACCTTGCTTTAATACTGTGTCTTCCTCCTAAATTTGTATTAACCACGGTGGTTTACCTTTTAGAACAGAGATGGCAAGCAAATATGTTTATTTTTACTGTTGATGTTGATCAATTAATCATGTCTACCTGAGGTACCAAATGAAAGAGCACTGGGACCCATTCTGCTCATTTGACTAGTGCCATGATTTATTAGCAATGTCTGCCATGGCCTCAGGAGATAAAAACTTCAGAGCTAGTGCTGTCACTTAGAAAAGCATTAGGGGAACAACAAAAAATTGCAGATACCTAGGTAGTCTTTAAAGGTCTCAGAAGTATATCAGCAATCATGTCATTTTGAATCTCAAGTCTGGTTAAAGATTTAGCATAAGACTAAAACTTAAATATCATGCATTTGAGGCATTAAAATAACTCATGAGTCTTCTGGGTCAGATAGTCAGGAGTTCACATTCCAATTTTGTGACTTATCTTTGGATAACTTATTTATCCTTTATACTACTTAATATATTCATACACTATAATAATGAAAATATTCACCTTGTACTGATGTTAAGATTAATAAGGTCGTGGAAATAAAAGTGAAGTGTACAGACAGCACCCGGCAGAGGGTAGGAAGCTCAATAAATGGTAGCTATTATTATGCTTAATCGTAATTTAAGGCAAAATAAACCATTCTGTTTTCTTGATTTTAAGGCAATGTTTACAACTTTACTGGGGAATTATTGCACTGTATTATAGTTTTACTTTTTTTTTTTTTTTTTTTTACCATTTGTCTTTCTTTTAGTGTGAGCCCTATGGGAAAAGGAACCATGTGTATTCATCACTGACTCTCAGATATAATTCAATGCCTGGTATATAGTAGGTGGCAAAAGGTGTTGCTGAATGGATGACAGAAAGAAACAAAAACAACAAAAAACACTTGAGCACATCTATATTCAAGTGCATGTTCCTCATTTGCTAGAAAGTTTAATTAAAAAAATCATAACTCAGAAATCTAAAGAATTTTTTACTGGGTTTCTTGTTTTTCTTTGTGCCTATTCTAGCTTGGGCTAGGCAATCAAAGAATCATGCCTCGGAAGAGAAAACTGAAGCAGAGAGACGAATGTTTGGTAGACCCTGTTTCTACATCCCATTTTTTGTCACATTGAACTGTAAGCCATACCCTAATTATGGATACCGTATGCTCCTCATTTTCTTTGCCAGGCCCACTTTCAATGTTCTGTCACAACGTTTTATAAGTACATCTATAATTGCCACATTATAAGTTTCAGTTTTTAATTCTGAAAACATGGTCATCATAGACATATGGCAAAGACCAGGGCCCAGGCCATCCAATACTCTCTAGAATCTGAAGCAGAGCATATTCTGCCTGAAGACTTTGGGTCACGAGTCCCAAACGTTTGTAAGCATCTTCTATATATTTTATGTCTATACAGGCATCTTTTTCCTCTTCTGATAAATTTTTATTTGTTTTTTGCTTCTAGGTTCATGTTATTTGGCTGGGTCACCTTCATGCCTCCTCATCAGTATCATCCTCTTTATTTTTGTAAGACATTGACTCATCTTTTATTATTTCACCTTATACTCATGTCATTATCTTGGATTATTTAAATGTCCATTTGGGTGGCCCATTCAATTCCCTGATGTCTCAATTCCTTGCCCTCTTCATCTCCTGTGTATTTCTTTTCCATATCCTGCAAGTTACCATTCCTCATGTGCACATCTTAGACATTCTCAATCCCTTAAAGTGCTGCCATTTCTTGATAATTAAATTCAGACACTTAAATTTGTTCAGTCATCTTTCATTCAGGTTCTTCCAATTATTTCTAAAACATTTTCTGTTTGTAATTTATTGGGTCTCCAGTTATTTGATTTTTTCTTATTATGTAAGCCTCTTTGTTTCTTCACTCTGCTTCTTATTTTGCTAATAGTTCAAGGTCTGACGCTTCCCCATTTTTACCAGTTCCCTAAGATTTTGTGTTAGTTAGCGCCTTTCCATCACTGAAGTCTGGCCAAAGCCCATAACTGAATGAACATAGCTGGTTTATGTGTTCACTTTTGCACATGGGCAGCTGTATACTGCTGGATACAATTCCATAATTAAACAGATAGGCATTTATAAATGTATAGTCCCCAGTAACAGCTGGAATGTGTCAATTTGCTCTTCCATTTCCTATAAAATAATTTTGAAACATCCCATTTTCCTCAAGACTCCCATTTTCTTCTCCCTCTCACTCAACAGATAGCTTTGGGTTTTATTTCATGGAGAAAGAGAAAAAAATATTCCATTGGAAGACATAATTTAACTTCTCAACTCAACTCTAGTACCAACATTTACTTTTCCTCCTTTATTTCTCTGACAAAGAGAAGAGCTAAAGCCAATAAATTCAGCTGTATTCTGGATCCTGTCAACTCCAATAACCTATAGAATTTTATTCCTTTAGTTATCCTTTCTCCTGTCTTCAATTTATCAACCATTACTAGATTTTTCTCACATGCTGCAATCTCTTCTATCCTACAACAAAAACAAAAACACCCAAAAACCTTTTGATATCCATCTCCTCCTTCTCATATTGCCACTTTACTTTTCTCCTCTCCTTTATATAACTGTATTAAAAGAATTGTCTATACTTTTTGCCTACCATTTCTTCGCCTTACACTCACTCCTTAAACAATTATATTTTAGTCCTCACCCTCACATTTCCAATGATAATGTCTTCAACAAGATCACTGATGACTCATGCTTAGAAAAGCCTGATGCTTGAAGTCTTAAGTGTGTTTATTTTACAAGAGCAATGTATACTTTTCATAGCTACTTACCTATTGAGATATTCTTTTGTTCCTTCTAATGATGCAAGATTTTATTTCTTTTTACTGCTCTGAGCATGCCTATTCTATCTCTTTTGTGAGATTCACTTTCTCAATCAATATTGATATGTTAATGTTTGTTGATGTTTTAGTCCTGATCCTCCAAGAAGCAGAAGCCAATACGATATTAAACATGCAAATAAAAAATCTATTATGGGATGGTCTATGAATGAAATTGAGGAGAGAGTCATGGGACACACATCCATGAATTCATCCCTGAGTAAGGAAAAGAGGAAGAGAAGAAAAGAAGGAAGAAAGGTTGAGTGGAAGTATCCTAAATTGTAGTACAATTCCAAGAAAAGTTTAAGGCCATTTAAGAGTCCTCAAATGAAAGTTCCCTATCAACAGAGCCCCATATCTCCCAAGAATAGGCCTGCCTTACTATTCCTGCCATTATCAGTCATTGTCTGGAGCAGCCCAAGGGAAGTGTGGGCTTGGTATAAATGAAGCCATAGATATTAGAGCACACCAGCTGGATCCCCCACCCACCACTCCAACTCCCTGCAGTTAGAGATCTGAGAGATTTGTTCCCATGGCTGCCACACTCGAGGTTCATAGTTCATGTTCATTTTTGACTTACAATGCTATGTAGACAATTCACATAGGGTGACAATTTATAGAATGTGACTGGGTGGCTACTTTACATTAACTAGTCATAAAATCTGAAGAAGTTGGTCACATAAAAGTTGGGGAGAACAGCATGCCAGGAAGAGTATAGAGTTGCAAAACCTGTAAAGCAAGCAGATCTTGATATAGCAAGGAAAGAGAAAGAAGCTAACTTGGTTAGACCATTGTGAGCTAGCAAAAGAGGAGTATAGGATACAGTCAGGGGAGAAGGCAGACACCAGATAACAATGGCTTTGTGAGCTAGGGTGAAAAGTTTGTATTTTATTCTGAATATCATACGAGAAGCTACTTAGGACTTTTTTTTTTTTTTTTTTTTTTTTTTTTGAGGCAGAGTCTCACTCTGTTGCCCAGGCTGGAGTGCAGTGGCGCGATCTCGGCTCCGCCTCCTGGGTTCACGCCATTCTCCTACCACAGCCTCCCAAGTAGCTGGGAATACAGGTGCCCGTCCCCACGCCCGGCTAATTTTTTGTATTTTTAGTAGAGATGGGGTTTCACCATGTTGGCCAGGATGATCTCGATCTCCTGACCTCGTGATCCGCCCGCCTCGGCCTCCCAAAGTGCTGGGATTACAGGCGTGAGCCACCGCGCCCTGCCTACTTAGGACTTTTAATTAGGAAGATATATAGCTGAGATTTACATTTTAAAAATATCATTTAAGATGAGAAACAACATCTACAACTGTGGGACTAATTGATACACATAATAGAATAATATATAATTGTCCAAAAATAAAAACAGATAAGGAAGCTCCATATGGACTGATATAAAATTATCATCAGAATATAATGCTAAGTCCAAATGCAACATGCAGAAAGGTTTGAATAATATGATATGATATGTGTGAAATATGAACATGGATATACTACTCTCTGGGAAGTTGCACTAGAAACTGGTAGCAATGGCTGTATTTGGGAGGGTACTTGGATATTTGGGTGACAGAGGTTGAAGGAAGACTCACTTTTTATTGTGCAGACTTCAGTATATTTTGGATTTTGAAACATTATTCATGGATAGCATATAAACGGAATTAAAATTAAACATGATAGACGAATACATTACCATTCAACTGGAGGACCAAATCAATATCTGCAATCCGGAATTGTCACTTAAGCTCCAGACATGTTTATTCAACTGACTACTGGGTATCCACACTTGAAAGGATTTCACTAAGCTTGATGTGACCAAAACCGAAATCACCATCTCCTTTTCATCTTTCAAATTTTGGCTTAAAAATTATTTGTTCTGAGACTTCTACTCTGGCCTGCTATGCATTCCTTGTCCCCTGAGATTTTCACGCTACTGACTCTCACTACACTGCATTTTTCACATGACATCAACCCTACCTAGCTGTTAACCACAGCATCCTCACTGCCCAACACAGAATATTGCTCAGAGTACATCTGTGATTTAATAAAGACAGTCCTTCACATGAATTACCTCCTAAGATGCCTAACACATCATTAACTGAACTAAAATACCACTTAGAGAAGCACTTTTGTAAGTTTGCTATCTGTTGTGGAAAGTAGTAATATAATATTTCCTTTCATTTATTTTTAAACTGCTTCTTTCAATTTCATAATCTGCTTTCTAAATCCAGTCTTCTTTGATTTTATGAACAAGCTATAATTACTGTTTCCATAATATCAATTATTTTACAGATTGCAAAGTGAAAGATTGAGAAGTGATGTGATTTAAGACACAGGGGAGAGATACCAATTTAATATGGCTAAGAAGAAACTTCCTTTCCTGGTTTAAACCATAAACAATTGACTAACTAACTTAATGAGTAGATAGACGGATGGATGGATGGATGGATGGATGGATGGATGGATGGATGGATGGATGAACAGATGATAGATAGATAGACAGACATAATCAATAAACAGAAACAGCTGAACCAGTAATCAAGAAAGGAAAACTCTCAAGTACATACTGAAAGAAACCAAGAGGAAACAGAGAGGTGGGGCAATGAGCAACAGCTGAAAGTGAGGCTCCTGATGAATTTCCTGCTAATTTGGGGGGATAAAAACCACAGATTCCTGAATAAAGGGAGCTGGAACTACTAGGTAGCACTAAGCTGGCTTTTACAAAAGATTATTCCATACCTGAAACATGACTTTAAAAAAAAACCCAAAAACAAAACTTCTCAGGTGCATAGGTAAGAGGTAAAGAAATTTAACGTCTTACGGGAGCTATGTGTGTAAAAGGAATTACCTGCAAACAACAAAGAGTTGAGGGTTACATCATATGTGTTTTTGAAATCCAAATTTATACTTCCCAAATGTATACTTGCAATAAGAGACATTTGTTTAATTTCAACTCAGGATTTTGCAAACTAGTTGACCATTGATTCTTTTATTTGGCTTTCTATAAAACACTCATTTAACATCTTCACAGGATCCTCTTATCATACCTAAGCAGATATCATCTATAAGCAGACAAAATGGTACAAAACTTAGCCTAGGATTTGAAAATCCATGAGTTCCTTTCTATTCTCCCTAACCTCCCACCCAAGAGATGTGAGAATGCCACAGAAACACGTGAAGGTAGAATTGCATTTACATTGCAAAATTTCATAGCCATGAGTTAATCAACTACCATGAGGGAGAGTCACAGAGAAAGAGATGAGAATGTGCATTCCAAAACTAAGAGGAAAGAACAACATAAAAGGGCTTTTAAATAGGCATGATTAAAACATTCAAATTAATTTTATAAAACAGGGAAAGGAAGGGGAAAAACAAAGCCAAAACAAGCCATTAATTTTAAGAACTAAATCAAATTTCAAGGTTAAAAAAAAAAGATGTTAAAAAAATAGAACAAAACTTCTGTGGTCAATTTGAATGGTCGACTGGATATAGCTGAAGGGTGAATTAACGAATTGTTAAATTGATCTGTGAAAGTCACCCAGAATGTAAAACATTTTCCTTACAAACTTTACCAAAAATAAAATCTATTTTCAATTTTAATTATCTCATTTGATAGAATTATAACCTTGAGCATATAATCTCTTATGGTTTCTTCTTTTTTAAAACAAAATCTCTAAAATTGGAACTAATAATAGATAAATCCCAGTGAATCATTGTGGTAATTACATGAGGTTAGGGTTATGAATGTAATATTCAAAGTGCACATATATAAAGCAATATTATCAATATTGTTGCTAATAAATATCAAAACCTTGACTTAGTTCCTTACGCTTCTCTAGGTCTCCTCTAGAACTAATATCTCTTTAGTGTTTAGTCTTTGGAGATAATGCCTAGAATTGATGTCTTTAGTTTTTGAAGAATACAGATACACTAGATTTTGTTTCTGAAAAATTATTTGTCTAATTCCAATATATATTTTGGATCTTTTAGGCAATATTTAGAGAAAATTCTAAAATGGTTATCACAATTTCTGTTCCCAGAGTAGTTCACTGCTTTCAAATGACACAAGTTTAGGAGGAGGAGAGAGAAAGCGCAACGTCAAATCAGCTTGAGAGAGACAGGGGAACATGTATTGAAGCAGGCAGAAAGAATACAAAAGCATTTTCCACTTTTCATTTTTTGAAAATGCAGTATTCATATACAAAATGTTCAACCATTTTGTACATTAATATTGGTTATGCAATATTGTACGAAATTGGTTGTACAAAACCAAATTTTCTGAATTTAAATATATTTAAATTAATGTTAATGCTCAATGTATATTAGCATATTAAATTTTCTGGGAAAACTTGCAATAAGAGACATTTGTTTAATTTCAACTCAGCGTTTTGCAAACTAGTTGACCATTGATTCTTTTATATGGCTTTCTATAAACACTCATTTAACATCTTCACTGGATCCTCTTAGAAAACACTAAGTTAAAGCTTCTTTCTGCAACTACTGACATTCTGTCTACATGTCTTGCTCTGTCTCACACATTTTGTTGCTTCTGTCTTTTGGCTTTCAGGCATGTGGAAATACTGTTCTTTATGCTCTGAAGTGCAGAGCTCAGTGCCACCCCCTGAGCTGCCCTGTTGGTTTTAGGTAACATTTTAAGTATACATAAGCCAAAAGGCTGCTTAGGCATGCATCGGGGACCACCTGTCCTGTACAGCAAGCATCTTTAGTCTTTAGGGCTTAGAAGCTTAGAGGGCTTGTAGCAGTTTTTCAGAGAAATGGACCATGGACAATCTAGATATTTTGCCTGTTTGGACTGCCAATGGGATGAGTGAAAAGCACTTACATACATACACAAAACAAAGGGACTTCTGAGTTGGACATCCAGGGTTCTAACCTCCACTTGGCCAAACACCAGCTACCTGACCTCCTGTAAGTTAACTTCCAAGTCTCAGGTTCCTCTCTTGTGAGATGGAAGTGATATTATTTCACAGAGGTTTTTCATCAGGCTTTGATATAAATAGTTTTTGGAGGGTTGTTGGTTTTCAATAAATAGTAGCTGTGCTTAATTTTTCTAACACATATATGATTTTATATAAATGGCTAAATGATATACTAGCTATCTAGTGTGGCATACACATATACCACAAATTTAGCAGCTTAGAACAATATTTCTTATCTTATATTTTCTGTGGGTCAAGAGTTCAGGCACAGCTTAGCTAAGCTATATCCTCTGCAAGCCTGCAATCAAGGTGTTAGCCAGGCTGGGGTCTCATTTGAAGGTTCAACTGAGGACAGATTGACTTCCAAGCTCCTGTTGTTGTTGGTAGGATTCAGTTCCTTGCTCTCTGTTGGAAGCTGCCCTCAGTTTCTTGCCACGTGGACCTTTTTACATGGCAGCTTATGTCATTGAAGCCAACAAAGGAAAAAGTCAATAAAGAGTCTTTTAGCAAGATGGAAGCTACAAGTTAGAAGTAACGTAATTGTGAAAGTGACATCCCATCAACTCTGCTACATTCTATTGGTTAGAAATACATCACAGGCCTACCCACATTCAAGAGGAAGAGATTATACAAGGTATGAATACTAGAAAAAAGCAGTAATGTGGGGCCATGTTAGAGTCTGTCTGTCACAGATGAGGTCAAATCACACATGCTGGATTTTAGTTTATTTTCCCCATGTTTTGCTGTGATTCCTTCATTCCCCTTTGCATACCCCTTTACCTGGATCATCCTCCGTTGCTATGCACGGGAGATACATTTTAACATGCCAGCATGTATAATCTCATATTTTTCTTCAGATACAGATAGATAATGGATATATGAAAACATATATATGTACATATATATGCATGTATGTGCATGTGTGTGTGTATTTCATTTAATAAATGAGATAATATTACACGCTTGTTTGTGATTTTTTACTTTAATTTCTGGAATACATGTGCAGAACATGTAGGTTTGTTACAAAGGTATATGTGTGCCAGAGTGGTTTGCTGCACCTATTAACCCATCATCCAGTTTCCTTCTCCTTGCTTCCCACCCCACAAACAGGCCCCAGTGTGTGTTGTTCCCCTCCCTGTGTCCATGTGTTCTCATTGTTCAACTCTCACTTATGAGGGAGAACATGCGGTGTTTGGTTTTCTGCTCCTGTGTTAATTTGCTGAGGATGATAGCCTCCAGCCTCATCCATATCCCTGCAAAGCACATGATCTCATTGCTTTTTATGGCTGCATAGTATTCCATGGTGTAAACATACCACATTTTCTTTATCCAGTCTATTATTGATTAGCATTTGGGTTGTTTCCATGTCTTTACTATTGTGAACAGTGCTGCAATAACATACATGTGCATGTGTCTTTATAGAAGAATGCTTTATATTCCTTTGGGTATATACCCAGTAATGGGATTGCTGGGTCAAATGGTATTTCTGGTTCTAGATCCTTGAAGAATCTCCACACTGTCTTCCACAGTGGTTGAAGTAATTTACATTCCCACCAACAGCGTAAAGCGCTTCCTATTTCTCCACAGCCTTACCAGCATCTATTGTTTCTTGACTTTTTAATAATTGCTCTTCTGACTGGCATGAGATGGTATCTCATTGTGGTTTTGATTTGCATTTCTCTAATGATCAGTGATGTTGAGCTTTTTTTCATGTTTGTCAGCTGTGTAAACGTCTTCTTTTGAGAAGTGTCTGTTCACATCCTTTGCCCACTTTTTGATGGGGTTTTTTTTTTCTTGTAAATTTGTTTAAGTTCCATGTAGATTCTGGATATTAGGCCTTTGTCAGATGGGTAAATTGCAAAATTTTCCTCCCATTCTGTAAGTTGCCTGTTCACTCTGATGATAGTTTCTTTTGCTTTACAGAAGTTCTTTAATTAGATCCCATTTTTCAGTTTTGGCTTTTGTTGCAATTGCTTTTGACATTTTTGTGATGAGGTCTTTGCCCATGTATATGTGTTGAATGGTATTGCCTAGGCTTTCTTCTAGGGTTTTTATGGTTTTGGATTTTACACTTAAATCTTTAATCCATCTTGAGTTAATTTTTATATAAGGTGTAAGGAAGGGGTCCAGTTTCAGTTTTCTGCATAAGGCTAGCCAGTTTTCCCAGAACCATTTGTTAAATAGGGAATCCTTTCCCTCATTGCTTGTTTTTGTCACATTTGTTGAAGACCAGATAGTTGTAGATGTGTGGTGTTATTTCTGAGGTCTCTGTTCTGTCCCATTGGTCTATATGTCTGTTTTGGTACCAATGCTATGCTGTTTTGGTTACTACAGCCTTGTAGTATAGTTTGAAGTTAGGTAGCATGATGCCTCCAGCTTTGTTCTTTTTGTTTATGATTGTCTTGGCTATACAGGCTCTTTTTTGGTTCCATGTGAAATTTAAAGAAGTTTTTTTCTATTTTTTTTCTAATTCTGCGAAGAATGTCAATGGTAGTTTGATGGGAATAGCATTGAATCTATTAATTACTTTGGGCAGTATGGCCATTTTCATAATATTGATTCTTCCTATCCATGAGGATGGAAAGTTTTTCCATTTGTTTATGTCGTCTCTTATTTCTTTGAACAGTGGTTGGTAGTTCTCCTTGAAGACGTCCTTCACATCCCTTGTTAGCTGTATTTCTAGATATTTTATTCTCTTTGTAGCAATTGTGAATGGGAGTTTATTCATGATTTGGCTCTCTGCTTTACTACTGTTTACACCCATTTTTTTTTTTTTTGCATTCTGCTTTTCTTGAATACATCATGGAAATGTTTCCAACTCAAGCAATACAGTACTACATTGTATAATGTTCTCTAACACTCACAATATCCATTCATTCTACTACCAATAGGAATTCACCAAGCTATCACTCTTTTGGCACAACAAATAATGATGCAATAAATATTCTTGTTCATGTATCTTTACCTCCTGCTGCATATTTTCCTCTGGGTTATGTTCCTATAAGTTTCTGGGTCAAAGAATATTTTTAATTTAATAGATATTGCCAGACTGTTTTCAAAAAGAGCTATAGTAATGCACATTTTTTGCCAGAAGTATATTCAAGTATCCCTTTTTCCCACGAGCAATAGGTGTTATTGCTCTGTTCAATGCCTGCCAGTATCATGGGCATAAAGGGATATCTCATTACTTTAATTTGCATTCACTGACAGTTGGTGAGGTTGAGTATCTTAATGTTTGTTGGCCATTTGGAATTGCTTTTTTGTGCATTGCTTCTTTGCTAATCTTTCTACTGGAATGTTTGAAAGGGTTCTTTACATAAAATAAACTCAGATCATTTATATTAAAAATTTTCCCAGATTCATCATTGTTTTCTATTCTTTTTTTTTCTGGAATTTTGCTACATACAAAGGTTCTTAAATTTTGTATGGTCCTTATACATATTTTGCTATGTGCAAATGCTAAACAACATATGAGGTGTCTTAAATATTACTTTTATAATGTTTATTGTCTTATTATTTTTTAGCACAATCTTTAATCTTTATAGCATTATTTTATGATTTGGGTAAAACAAGGATTAACTGTGTTTTCTTCTGGAGGGATAGCCAGTTATGCCTGTACCATTTGTAAATAATCTATGTTTTCTTACTGGTTCAAATATTAATGTCATTGTGTATTACATTTTCACATATTTTTACATATAGTTCTGGATTTTCCAATCTGTTACACTAATCTATGTGTCTGTTAATATGCCAATACAATGAGAAACTGATTTGAATGGATATTTTGAATCATCTTTTATATAAGTCATATTGTCCGTTTCTAGTTTTCTTTTGCACGCTTTTCTTGGCAATTCTCTGGCTTTCATTTATGTAAGTGCTTAGAATAATTTTATCCAGTTATTAAAAAATATATACTAGAATTATAATTGGCATTGTATTAAACTATGCATTGATTTCAGAAGAATTGGCATTTTTATAAAATTTTTCAATCACTGGGTGTCTATTTGTTCAGATCTTCATTTATATCATTTAATACAAATTTGTAAAAATTTAAATCATAAAATTTTCTGTTACTTTCTTATGTTTATTCCTAAGATTTTATATTTTTTGCCATTATGAATGTAATTTTTGTTCTGCTTTAATTTCTGGATGCTTATTGATATATCAAAGATATTCTTTTTGTAATTTTATCACATCACAAACCACCTTACCAAATTCTTTTTAATCAAAGGAGAACTTTTTAACTATACTCTAGCGAGTTTTCTAGGTATCAAATAATTTTATCTAAAAGAGATAGGTTTATCACTTATCCCTTATATTTGTACTTTTTCATTTTTCTACTTCATTTTTAGAACCTCCAAGAAAATATTGACTAACAACAGGCATCTATATCTAGTCCTTGATTTAAGAGTAAAATAATTTTACTGATTTGTGATTGAAATAATATTTGCTATTGACTGTTGGCAAATTTAATTAATATATTGGTAGTCCCATTTTGCTTTCTAAAGAATGGCTAATGACTTTTTTCATTTGCTTTCCTGAAAGAAATGCTGTTTCTTCATAGTATGACAATACCTTTATGTATCTTCATAAAATCTACTAGTTTATATTTTAGATATTTTTCGTGTATATTTATACATTTTTGCATTTGTATTTAAAAATAATCTTGATTTACTTTAGAATTTTTTCATGTGTATTTTATACTTTTTGCATGTGTATTTATAAATAATATTCCTGATTTACTTTATCTAATATTCATTTACTTTAAGAAGGAGCTTTAGGCCAAATGCAGTGGCTCATGCCTGTAATCCCAGTACTTTGGGAGGCTAAGGTGGGCAGATCCCTTAAGCCCAGGAGTTCAAGACCAGACTGGGTAACATGGTGAACCACCATCTCCACAAGAAATTCAAAAGTTAGCTGGGTGTGCTGGTACGCATGTATAGTCCCAACAACCTGGGAGGCTGAGGTGGGAGGATCACCTAAGCCCACGAGATCAAGGCTGCAGTAAGCCATGTTCATGCCATTGCACTCCAGCCTGGGTCAGAGTGAAACCCTGTCTCAAACAAACAAACAAACAAACAAAAGCTTTACTGAAATGCAATTTACATACTATAAAATTCACCCATTTTATATATACAATTCAATGACTTTTAGTAAATTTATAATTGTACAACCATCACCACAATCCAGTTTCCATCACCTTGAAAAGATGTGCCCATGTGCAGCCAATTTCTGTTCCTCCAGTTCCAGGCCACCACTAACCTGTTTTCTGTGTCTACAGAAACAGAACATTTTATGTAAATAAATCTTACACTATGTGGTCTCCACGTCTTGCTTCTTTCGCTTGACATAATGTTTTTCAGGTCATGCATGTTTCAGCATGTATTACTATTTCATTCTTTTTTATTGTTGAATCAACTTTCTTTTTAAAAAAATGTATCTATTTGAATTTTGGAATTAAAGCTAAAAAGCCTTCTTAAAATGATCTGAGAAAATTTTTCATCTTTTTGGTGGTGTGTAATAGTTTTTCCCTAAAGATGAGATAGAATTTTGCTATGAACCCATGTGATGACTTTTTCAGTATGAGATATGTAATTGTTTATTCATTTTTTATAGTAATTGATCAATTTAAGTTGTCACTTTTGGGGGGATAAATTTTAATAACATCTTTTTCTAAAAAATAATCCATTCTCCTAAGATTTCAAATGTTTGTCATGTATTCTGTTATCCTGTTAATTTTTTCTCTACCATTGTGTTTGTGATAATACATTTTTTTCAGTCTTAATCCTGTACTTTGTTTTTTCCCTTTATTGCTCCTTTTCCTCCTCCTCCTCCTCAAATTCCTCCTATTTCTTCTTTTAGGTATCTCATCAGGCTCATGAGGTATTTTATAATTTTTCAAGCAATATCTGTTTTAACGTCTATAACCTTTTTGCTATTTTTAGCATTAATTTTAATTAATTTCAACTTTTTAAAATAAATTCTTTCTTCTTAGTCTTTTTTTTTGGTTGTCTTGTTTTGTTGATGTTCTTTTTCTAAAATCATGAGATGAGTAATTTAGATTCAATTTAGATTTTGTTATTATATTTTTATTTACAATTTCATCAAAATGCTGTTTTATATTTTTGTTAAATACTCTTTTCATTGCTTTCTGGAGTCTGTGTTGTTGGTTTGATCTTCTTAATGATTTAAGGAATATCTATTCCAATATCTATTGGAATTGTTTCTCAATTTCCAAGTGGATGACATTATTCTGGTAATCTTTGAATGTTATATTTGGCCTATCAAATCTTCTTGGCAATCAGGTTTAGCTCAATTTATGTAAATGTCCCATGAACCTACAGAAAATGAATATTATTTCTTTTACGCATATATGGGCCTACATTATTGAATATAATTACTATATTATTAATTTCCTTCATGTCCTTAATTTTCTCTGATTTCAAAATTAGTGAAATATTCTCCTACATTGAAGGCTTATCAAATTCTCCTTGATTTTCTAACAGATTTATACATATAGCCGTTATTTAGTATGTAGAAGTTTATGATAGAAGTATCTTCAACATTAGTTATCTTTATTATCATTATATTATGCCCCTCTGTTTGGTGTTTTTAATAGTTCATTTCACCTAGATTGTATTAGGTAAAATGTAATTGCCACTTCTGCTGTTAGTTTTGTTCTCATTTGCCTAATATCTCTCTTTATCTCTTACTTTTTTAATTTTAAAAATGTATTAAATATATATTTTTAAATAACTAGCACATTTTCATCCAATTTTTAACACTATCAATCTCTTGCTTCTAATGGAAGAATTTAATTCATTTCTAAATTTATACATTAATTGTATTCCTGCCATCTTTATATTTACTACCTAATGTCTTTAGTCATTTCCTTTTTTATTTTCCCTGGTTTTGGTTTGTTTGTTTTTTTCACCAATTTACTAAAGTTGGTATTTATTTCATTTCTTGACTTTTAAATTTAGAAACTGTAGTACACGCTTTACATTCTAACTGATCACTTTCCCTTTTCAAGGACTCATAATCGGACCCTATTTATCTACTAATATGATTCGCACTCTTTCCTATACCTAATATTCCATTAACCTCATCTCCTTACCCTTCTATGAGATGAAATCTTACACTACTTTTATCTTTCTTCTTTCCTTCTTGCCACTGTTCAAGTCTCACACGGACGACATTTTTAGAATACTTCTTCCCTTTCCCTGCCATCTACCAACCGACTCTGGTTTCACAGAGCTAATGAAATATGTTCAGATGTAATCTATTATAATTTCCTTGCAGATGCTCCATTTTAATAAACCATATTATTATTCTATTTCACATTACTAGAAAGTCTGTCACCATCCATTTAGATTTATATGTGTAAACCAGGGTTCTTTGCTCACCACATTTCTCTCTTCCTCCCTTTTCCTTACCTTGAGATCTCTATTATGATGGATCTGTTTGTTGGAGTTGGTCATTGAGTGTTTTCTTCTGATGGACTGAGCGATCTATTCTTTGAATTCTAATGTCTTTGTAAATATATTTCTTTTACTCCCAAGAGACAAATAATAACTTGACTAGGCACAGGATAGTTTAGTTGTAGTCCTTCCTCTCAGTAGTCTTCAAATATTATCCCAAACTCATCTAGCTTCCAGCCTTTTAGACAATCAGAGAGCAATGGCGGTCTCATTTTTCCATTATAAACATTGTTATGTACAAAATTGTGTCCCACAAAATGTTGTATGTTGAAGCCCAATTCCAATGCAATACATTTGGAGATAGGGCCTTTTGGGAGGTAACAGAGGTTAAACGACATCATTAGGGTGTGGTCATAATCAAATAGGACTGATAGAAAGAGAAAAAGATGCCAGATCTCTCTGTCTCTCTGTCTGTCTCTTCCTCTCTCTCTTTCTTTGCTTGTGCACCCAGAGGAAAGGCAACGTGAGGACAGAGCTGTCTGCAAGCCAGAAAGAGGCATCACTAGAAACCATCTCTCCTGATGCTTTGATCTTGAACTTCTGGCCACAAGAACTGTGAGGAAATAAATTCATGTTGTTTAAGCCAACAAGTCTGTCATTCTGTCATGGTAGCCCAGGCCAAGTAATACAGGTCCTTTTTGCTTTTTATCTGAAAGCACTGGAACTCTATAATTTTATTAGAATGAACTTAAGTGGGTGTGTCTTTTATCACCAAATCTCACTGGAACTTCTGTCATTTTAATTTGCCCTACCCACATCCCTCAGGGAAATCTTCCTATAGGCACTTATTGCTTCTCTCTCTCTTTTTTTTAATCCTCCTGAAATCCTATTATTTGTACTTTCGGTCGCTGAGGTTTATTCTCCAAATCTCTTATCTGTTATCTCATGTTTTTCATCTCTGTGTAATTTGAGATGTTTCTTCCAAATAGTGTTTCAGGTTATGAATTTAGGTCTCGGCAGTGATTGACTATCCTCTCAACCAATTTATTTGTTACTTTTTGTTTATTTCAGAAATCATGGTTTAGAAGACCTAGACAAGTATTCTGAGTACTGCACTACAATCTCTTGTTTTATTCAAGAAATTCAAACACATCTGCCATTTTTCTGTTTCCATAAAAAGTCTAGTTCCACCCAACTGACATCATAATATATTCCTACATTCTTCATTCAAAAAAATAACATAACTAATATTGTCCAGGGTATCTGTAGATGGGTATAGGGTACTTAGTTAAGAAAATTAACATAATTATTACCCTCATTGAGTTTATAGTCCAGTGGTATAAACAGGCATCATACAAACCCATAAATGAATATCTGCAAACAAATTTTAAGATATGCCATAAAAGAAAATAAGAGTACAAGATAAAATAACAGGGCAGGGTAGTGGTATAGTAATAATTACTGTAAATAACATGGCTGTGAAAACTTCTCTGAGAAGTGAAATTTAATCCAAGAATAAAGGATGAGTTGGGAGACTAAGATTTAAGTGGAAAAAGATTAAAGAAAAAGTTTATAAAGATAGTGAGCAAGGAATTGAAAGGAGGCCACCACAACTGAAACAAGCTGGGCTTTGAAGGTTGCTGTGGTGTGAATGTGTCCCTCAAATTTCATGTGTTGGAAACTTAATCCCCAAATTCTTACATTAATTGGTGGTGGGGGTCTCTGGAACATAATTAGGATTAGATGAGGTCATAAGAATATGGCCCTGATGATGGGACTGGTAGCTTTATAAGAAGAGGGAGAGAGACCTGAGCAGGACTGCTCTTGTCCCCTCACCATGTGATATCCAGTGCTGTCTCAGGACTTTGCTGAGAGTTCTCATCAGCAAGAAGGGCCTCACCAGATACAGTCTCTTAAACTTGGACACTTGGACTTCTCAGCCTCTGGAACTGTAAGAAGTAAATTTATTTTTTTTTATAAATTACCCAGTCTTGGGTATTCAGTTACAGCAACCAAAAAAAAAAAAAAAAAAAAAAAAAAGAAAGACAGGCATTGTGTAACAGTGTAGTATTCACTGTAAGAGCATGAAAAGTCATTGTCATTTTTAAGAGCAGAGTAATATCATCCCACTTTCATATAAAAAGGATGACTCTGGAGGTTGTTTGAAGAATAGACTGGAGTGAATGAATCATGGCAATTTATAAGGAAACCTGAGATTTTAGAGTTATCTAAACCAAAGGTTAGCAAACTTTTTCCATAAATGACAAAACAGTAAATATTTTAGGCTTTGGATTACATATGGTCTCTGTTGTAACTCAACCACTACTGCAGCATGTAAACTGCCACAGATAATATATAAATGAATGACTATAGCTGTGTTTTGTTAAATTTTATTAAAAGGAACAGGTAGTAAAGCTAAATTTGGCCTGCAAGTTGTAGTTTGCTGATTCCTGATGTAAACATTTAGAAATTCCTTTCACTCATGCCAAAAGATTATCACTAAGATGTTAATTCTGAAGTTCTGTGATGTATCCCATAGACTAATCACAGTGACTGGCACGTGGTAGTTGTTCAGCAAATACTTGCTGAAAAAATAATCAGTGTAAAGAACCATAATATTTAAACTTGTCTAATCAGAAAACAAATTTGTTTAGTCATTCCCTTGGCTTGGTGTCACTAAACCAGCTTTCTGCCCATATCAGAGCATATTGCAGAGTGACTAAAAGTAAGCAGTGCTGGACAATTAGCTTAACGGGTAAGATATTTCAAATTTGCCTTGGCTTGTAATCCTTTCTAATATTCTATATTTCCTTATCAATAAAGAGAGTCTACATATGAAAGAACTGCATCCCCATTTATCTTAGAATACATTACAGTCTACTTTTGATGTTAGGATACAGTGAAATAGATTCAAGTTCTTCACTTATTCCCTATTTGATATATAAAATTTATGTAGTAATGTTATTAATCTTATGAAATTTGAATGCTGGATAATTGGAGGGTATATGGGTCTAAGCAGCATTCCCAACACCAAGATGTTGGGAGAGTATGGGAAAATCTGGTGCATACATTACCAATGAGTAGGAGACATGTTCTAAATTCCAAGACCCCACAAACAGAATACATGATTACTAGATAGGACCTTGAAGGTTGAGCAACTCTGAACTGGGGATGATTTTGAAATCAACGCGTCCATTACCCCCACTTTCTTGAAAATAGTCCTCTCTGTGCTTATTATGAGATGTCACTTGTGAAGGTGACAGGTGTTTGCTAGGCTGAGATGAAGACTGGGAAAGATGTTGCAATGTTTATAAAAGCTTACTCTGTGTAAACCTTTCTCAGAATTTATTCCTTTTTAGGTCAGCTTAAGATGTCATATACGAGGGACACCATGGCCTATAAAAACTCATAAGAATCTGCCAGCCAGGTTGGACTTTTTCCTCATTATAGTCCTTGAGAGACGCCAGGAATCATAGCTATGAGCACTATTTATTATTTATTTATTTTACTTGTAAGAAAAACATCACTACCAACTCATGGTAAGCTCGTATAATTATAATAGCTTATTTTTCAAACCTTGAGAAGCTTTTTAAAAATTTTTCAAATTACAAAATAAATGTGTTTTCACAGAAGAAAATTTTCAAAATGCACATGTAAAAATAAAAAAAATACCACCATGTATTTTTTCGAAATCAGTATCATGGTGAAAGCATTATTTGTGACCTGCTTTTAAAAACTTTATAATACAGCATACGCATGTCATTAACAATTCTTCTAAATATCAAAATACATTCGACAAATCATATATCTTTGGATACACTGGATACATTGGTTGACGCTAGGTTTTTACTATTACAAATGATAGTATAAAGAATATTTTTGTATAATATATTAATTTCCTAAGCATTTTCTTAGCATAAATTTAGACTTGACCCACGCCTCTAAATTACCCTGCATAGAGTTAATGATGTATTTATCCCAGCAGTGTTAAGAGATTAGCAGTTTTAATATAATTTCACCAAAACTGAATCTTGTCTTCAGTTTTTTTTTTTTTTCAAAGAGACAATAAGGGGGGGAGGAGCCAAGATGGCTGAATAGGAACAGCTCCAGTCTACAGCTCCCAGCGTGAGCGACGCAGAAGACGGGTGATTTCTGCATTTCCATCTGAGGTACCGGGTTCATCTCACTAGGGAGTGCCAAACAGTGGGCGCAGGTCAGTGGGTGCGCAAGCCAAAGCAGGGCGAGGCATTGCCTCACTCGGGAAGCGCAAGGGGTCAGGGAGTTCCCTTTCCTAGTCAAAGAAAGGGGTGACAGACAGCACCTGGAAAATTGGGTCACCCCCACCCGAATACTGCGCTTTTCCCACAGGCTTAAAAAACAGCGCACCAGGAGATTACATCCCGCACCTGGCTTGCAGGGTCCCAAGCCCACAGAGTCTAGCTGACTGCTAGCACAGCAGTCTGAGATCAAACTGCAAGGCGGCAGCGAGGCTGGGGGAGGGGCTCTCGCCATTGCCCAGGCTTGCTTAGGTAAACAAAGCAGCCAGGAAGCTCCAACTGGGTGGAGCCCACCACAGCTCAAGGAGGCCTGCCTGCCTCTGTAGGCTCCACCTCTGGGGGCAGGGCACAGACAAACAAAAAGACAGCAGTAACCTCTACAGACTTAAATGTCCCTGTCTGACAGCTTTGAAGAGAGCAGTGGTTCTCCCAGCACGCAGCTGGAGATCTGAGAACGGGCAGACTGCCTCAAGTGGGTCCCTGACCCCTGACCCCCCAGCAGCCTAACTGGGAGGCACCCCCCAGCAGGCGCAGACTGACACCTCACACGGCCGGGTACTCCAACAGACCTGCAGCTGAGGGTCGTGTCTGTTAGAAGGAAAACTAACAAACAGAAAGGACATCCACACTAAAACCCATCTGTACATCACCATCATCAAAGACCAAAAGTAGATAAAACCACAAAGATGGGGAAAAAACAGAGCAGAAAAACTGGAAACTCTAAAAAGCAGAACGCCTCTCCTCCTTCAAAGGAACGCAGTTCCTCACCAGCAACGGAACAAAGCTGGACGGAGAATGACTTTGACGAGCTGAGAGAAGAAGGCTTCAGACGATCAAATTACTCTGAGCTACGGGAGGACATTCAAACCAAAGGCAAAGAAGTTGAAAACTTTGAAAAAAATTTAGAAGAATGTATAACCAGAATAACCAATACAGAGAAGTGCTTAAAGGAGCTGATGGAGCTGAAAACCAAGGCTCGAGAACTACCTGAAGAATGCAGAAGCCTCAGGAGCCGATGCGATCAACTGGAAGAAAGGGTATCAGCAATGGAAGATGAAATGAATGAAATGAAGCGAGAAGGGAAGTTTAGAGAAAAAAGAATAAAAAGAAACGAGCAAAGCCTCCAAGAAATATGGGACTATGTGAAAAGACCAAATCTACGTCTGATTGGTGTACCTGAAAGTGACGGGGAGAATGGAACCAAGTTGGAAAACACTCTGCAGGATATTATCCAGGAGAATTTCCCCAATCTAGTGAGGCAGGCCAACATTCAGATTCAGGAAATACAGAGAACGCCACAGAGATACTCCTCGAGAAGAGCAACTCCAAGACACATAATTGTCAGATTCACCAAAGTTAAAACGAAGGAAAAAATGTTAAGGGCAGCCAGAGAGAAAGGTCGGGTTACCCTCAAAGGGAAGCCCATCAGACTAAGAGTGGATCTCTCGGCAGAAACTCTACAAGCCAGAAGAGAGTGGGGGCCAATATTCAACATTCTTAAAGAAAAGAATTTTCAACCCAGAATTTCATATCCAGCCAAACTAAGCTTCATAAGTGAAGGAGAAATAAAATCCTTTACAGACAAGCAAATGCTGAGACATTTTGTCACCACCAGGCCTGCCCTAAAAGACCTCCTGAAGGAAGCGCTAAACATGGAAAGGAACAACCGGTACCAGCCGCTGCAAAATCATGCCAAAATGTAAAGACCATCGAGACTAGGAAGAAACTGCATCAACTAATGAGCAAAATCACCAGCTAACATCATAATGACAGGATCAAATTCACACATAACAATATTAACTTTAAATGTAAATGGACTAAATGCTCCAATTAAAAGACACAGACTGGCAAATTGGATAAAGAGTCAAGACCCATCAGTGTGCTGTATTCAGGAAACCCAGCTCACGTGCAGAGACACACATAGGCTCAAAATAAAGGGATGGAGGAAGATCTACCAAGCAAATGGAAAACAAAAAAAGGCAGGGGTTGCAATCCTAGTCTCTGATAAAACAGACTTTAAACCAACAAAGATCAAAAGAGACAAAGAAGGCCATTACATAATGGTAAAGGGATCAATTCAACAAGAAGAACTAACTATCCTAAATATATATGCACCCAATACAGGAGCACCCAGATTCACAAAGCAAGTCCTGAGTGACCTACAAAGAGACTTAGACTCCCACACAGTAATAATGGGAGACTTTAACACCCCACTGTCAACATTAGACAGATCACGAGACAGAAAGTCAACAAGGATACCCAGGAATTGAACTCAGCTCTGCACCAAGTGGACCTAATAGACATCTACAGAACTCTCCACCCCAAATCAACAGAATATACATTTTTTTCAGCACCACACCACACCTATTCCAAAATTGACCACATACTTGGAAGTAAAGCTCTCCTCAGCAAATGTAAAAGAACAGAAATTATAACAAACTATCTCTCAGACCACACTGCAATCAAACTAGAACTCAGGATTAAGAATCTCACTCAAAACCGCTCAACTACATGGAAACTGAACAATCTGCTCCTGAATGACTACTGGGTACATAAGGAAATGAAGGCAGAAATAAAGACGTTCTTTGAAACCAACAAGAAGAAAGACACAACATACCAGAATCTCTGGGACACATTCAAAGCAGTGTGTAGATGGAAATTTATAGCACTAAATGCCCACAAGAGAAAGCAGGAAAGATCCAAAATTGACACCCTAACATCACAATTAAAAGAACTAGAAAAGCAAGAGCAAACACATTCAGAAGCTAGCAGAAGGCAAGAAATGACTAAAATCAGAGCAGAACTGAAGGAAATAGAGACACAATAAACCCTTCAAAAAATTAATGAATCCAGGAGCTCGTTTTTTGAAAGGATCAACAAAATTGATAGACTGCTAGAAGACTAATAAAAAAAGAGAGAAGAATCAAATAGACACAATAAAAAATGATAAAGGGGATATCACCACCGATCCCACAGAAATACA
This sequence comes from Homo sapiens, assembly GCF_000001405.40. Classification (NCBI taxonomy): domain Eukaryota; kingdom Metazoa; phylum Chordata; class Mammalia; order Primates; family Hominidae; genus Homo; species Homo sapiens. The sequence continues at coordinate 87,466,928 of NC_000015.10, forward strand.
AACTACCATCAGAGAATACTACAAACACCTCTACGCAAATAAACTAGAAAATCTAGAAGAAACAGATAAATTCTTTGACACATACACTCTCCCAAGACTAAACCAGGAAGAAGTTGAATCTCTGAATAGACCAATAGCAGGATCTGAAATTGTGGCAATAATCAATAGCTTACCAACCAAAAAGAGTCCAGGACCAGACGGATTCACAGCTGAATTCTACCAGAGGTACAAAGAGGAACTGGTACCATTCCTTCTGAAACTATTCCAATCAATGGAAAAAGAGGGAATCCTCCCTAACTCATTTTATGAGGCCAGCATCATCCTGATACCAAAGCCGGGCAGAGACACAACCAAAAAAGAGAATTTTAGACCAATATCCTTGATGAACATTGATGCAAAAATCCTCAATAAAATACTGGCAAACCGAATCCAGCAGCACATCTAAAAGCTTATCCACCATGATCAAGTGGGCTTCATCCCTGGGATGCAAGGCTGGTTCAATATACACAAATCAATAAATGTAATCCAGCATATAAACAGAACCAAAGACAAAAACCACATGATTATCTCAATAGATGCAAAAAAGGCCTTTGACAAAATTCAACAACTCTTCATGCTAAAAACTCTCAATAAATTAGGTATTGATGGGACGTATGTCAAAATAATAAGAGCTATCTATGACAAACCCACAGCCAATATCATAGTGAATGGGCAAAAACTGGAAGCATTCCCTTTGAAAACTGGCACAAGACAGGGATGCCCTCTCTCACCACTCCTATTCAACATAGTGTTGGAAGTTCTGGCCAGGGCAATTAGGCAGGAGAAGGAAATAAGGGGTATTCAATTAGGAAAAGAGGAAGTCAAATTGTCCCTGTCTGCAGACGACATGATTGTATATCTAGAAAACCCCATTGTCTCAGCCCAAAATCTCCTTAAGCTGATAAGCAACTTCAGCAAAGTCTCAGGATACAAAATCAATGTACAAAAATCACAAGCATTCTTATACACCAACAACAGACAAACAGAGAGCCAAATCATGAGTGAACTCCCATTCACAATTGCTTCAAAGAGAATAAAATACCTAGGAATCCAACTTACACAGGATGTGAAAGACCTCTTCAAGGAGAACTACAAACCACTGCTCAAGGAAATAAAAGAGGATACAAACAAATGGAAGAACATTCCATGCTCATGGGTAGGAAGAATCAATATCATGAAAATGGCCATAGTGCCCAAGGTAATTTACAGATTCAATGCCATCCCCATCAAGCTACCAATGACTTTCTTCACAGAATTGGAAAAAACTACTTTAAAGTTCATATGGAACCAAAAAAGAGCCCGCATCGCCAAGTCAATCCTAAGCCAAAAGAACAAAGCTGGAGGCATCACACTACCTGACTTCAAACTATACTACAAGGCTACAGTAACCAAAATAGCATGGTACTGGTACCAAAGCAGAGATATAGATCAATGGAACAGAACAGAGCCCTCAGAAATCACACCACATATCTACAACTATCTGATCTTTGACAAACCTGAGAAAAACAAGCAATGGGGAAAGGATTCCCTATTTAATAAATGGTGCTGGGAAAACTGGCTAACCATATGTAGAAAGCTGAAACTTGATCCCTTCCTTACACCTTATACAAAAATCAATTCAAGATGGATTAAAGACTTAAACGTTAGACCTAAAACCATAAAAACCCTAGAAGAAAACCTAGGCATTACCATTCAGGACATAGGCATGGGCAAGGACTTCATGTCTAAAACACCAAAAGCAATGGCAACCAAAGCCAAAATTGACAAATGGGATCTAATTAAACTAAAGGGCTTCTGCACAGCAAAAGAAACTACCATCAGAGTGAACAGGCAACCTACAAAATGGGAGAAAATTTTTGCAACCTACTCATCTGACAAAGGGCTAATATCCAGAATCTACAATGAACTCAAACAAATTTACAAGAAAAAAACAAACAACCCCATCAAAAAGTGGGCGAAGGACATGAGCAGACACTTCTCAAAAGAAGACATTTATGCCGCCAAAAAATACATGAAAAAATGCTCACCATCACTGGCCATCAGAGAAATGCAAATCAAAACCACAAGGAGATACCATCTCACACCAGTTAGAATGGCAATCATTAAAAAGTCAGGAAACAACAGGTGCTGGAGAGGATGTGGAGAAATAGGAACACTTTTACACTGTTGGTGGGACTGTAAACTAGTTCAACCATTGTGGATGTCAGTGTGGCGATTCCTCAGGGATCTAGAACTAGAAATACCGTTTGACCCAGCCATCCAATTACTGAGTATATACCCAAAGGACTATAAATCATGCTGCTATAAAGACACATGCACACGTATGTTTATTGCGGCATTATTCACAATAGCAAAGACTTGGAACCAACCCATATGTCCAACAATGATAGACTAGATTAAGAAAATGTGGCACATATACACCATGGAATACTATGCAGCCATAAAAAAGGATGAGTTCATGTCCTTTGTAGGGACATGGATGAAATTGGAAATCATCATTCTCAGTAAACTGTCACAAGAACAAAAAACCAAACACCGCATGTTCTCACTCATAGGTGGGAATTGAACAATGAGAACACATGGACACAGGAAGAGGAACATCACACTCTGTGGACTGTTGTGGGATGGGGGAGGGGGGAGGGATAGCATTGGGAGATATACCTAATGCTAGATGACGAGTTAATGGGTGCAGCACACCAGCATGGCACATGTATACATATGTAACTAACCTGCACATTGTGCACATGTACCCTAAAACTTAAAGTATAATAATAATAAAAAAAAACAAAGAGACAATAAGTATCTAATTTTAGTTTCATTTGCTTTGATTTTAATTAGTTGAATATTTTTTCAAGTCTTGTCATTGATATTTATTTTATAAATTACTGATCTTTTATTTCTCCTTTGTATATTTATTTTATATAGTTATAATTTTATTAGTCGTTCATCTATTACAGACATTTACATGTTGTATTTTCTCAGTTCATCATTTGTATTTATTGTTATAAAGTTTTTAATATGTAAAATTTCAAATTGCATTCATTAATAGCCCACATTTATGTAGCTGGTCTATAGACTTCAGATTGTACTAAATTTTTAACACATGCAATTTTATTTAATCTTTAAACCACCTTTAAAATGCATACAATAAGTATCCTTATTTCATTGGGGAAACTGAGCCACAGAGAGGTTCAGTGTCTTTCCCAAGTTGCATACCAGTTATTATATGTTAGAGCTTGGTATTTAAAATTAGAGAATCTGATTCTAGAGTTCTTTTTATTGAATATTTTCTTTTTTCTTTTTTCTTGAGGTATTTGCCTAGAAAGTCTTGACCCACTCTAACACTGGATTTTTTTTGTTAATTTCTTACACTCTTCTCTTTATCTAACCCTTCACTTTCTTTTTTTCCATTCTCTTTTTCTTCTTCTTTACCATATTTCCGTTCCTTCTTCCCCAACTTCTACATTCTCTTGATTTTATCTGGAATTGATGTTGCTATGGTAGGATGAAAGTTAGTTCTCCAAATAGTTAACCAATTATGTCTGAACTACTTATTAAACAATCTAGCACTTTGTCAATAATTTGAATGCTAAATGTATCATATGAATAACAGATATACTTGGATGTGTATTTTATTTTATTGTTCTATTGTTATTGTACTAATGCCACATGGTTTAAATATTCTGTAATATTTTATTATCTGAGAGTGTAAATACTTTATCACAATATTTTTTCAAAATTGTTTTACTACTAATGATTATATGTTTTGCCATATAAACCTTTTCTTGCTTATCAGTTTTCAAATAATGAGTTGATTTTCTACATCTCCAAAGGTAAACAATAAGGGTATTTTTGTGTTTTGTTTTTTGATATTATAAACTGATGAATTTTAAAATACTGCTGTGTTTTAATATCCTTATTAACACTCAAATTTTCCATTTTTGGGCAGTGGAAGCCTCTTAAAATTTTATCTGAATGATTTTGAATCAAACTCCAACTGCCTTTTGTAACTTTCATACTTTCAATGATCTAGACTCATTTTCTACCTCAAATCAGGAATCAGTCGTATCTTCAAAGATCCCCGATTAATGTTGTGATTAAGTTTATGAGCTGAGCATTAGGGGTGCTCATTGCTATTGCTTTAGCCATGATTTCAAGTATTTGTTTTCCTGCCAAAGAAAATACAGTATGAGTTCATACTGATATTTTCACTGAAATGTGGGATTAAACTTCTTGGCATTTCTTATTTGATTTTAGATATGATCTCTTCTTTAACATTGAAAGTCTTTGTTTATTCACATAATTATTTTCTCTACACACACACACAATTGACTAACAATAAGCTTTGGTGTGTTTATGTTTTGTTTTAATTATTGTTATCTTCTGCATTTAATCCGTTAAGGGCATGCAATAAAATTACCACATTTTAAAGTTATTTGAAACAGTTTCTCTCTGCATCATTTTTCCAACAACTCAATTCAAAGATTGTTTTTTTTAATTATTAGCAATTCCTTTTTTAAGTCTTATGTAATTTTGTTTCAAAAGTATATGCATTTACATGGTGTTAAAGTCAAACCTACAAAACAAAATGTATTAGAAAAGTCTAACTTCAATCCTGTCTCTGCTATTCTCTGTTAAAAAAAATTCAGTTTTTTCTTCCGTTTTTAAGTAAAGGATTTATATGTATATATATCCTTTTATATTCCATATCTATCCAGTTTAAAAATAAAGGATTTATGTACATATACCCTTTAATATATATTTATATGTACATTAAATATACATATGAATATATGGATATATATAGATATAAATTATATATTAGTCCCTTCTTTCTCAATTAAATGTTGTGCCATATTATACAAAAATGTTTCCAATAGTTTTATTGTTTTTTACTTAATACATCCCCAAAGATAATATAAGAGCAGCAGCATACAAATATATGTTTAATTACACACTAGAATAATACTTCATTGTGTATTCATAGTTTAGTTAGTTTTGTTTTGTTTTTATTTTTATTTTACCTTGGTGTTTTCTTTTATTGAATCATACAAAATTGTTTGTATGATTTATTAGCTAAATAAATCTTTTAGCTAATATACCTTTTAAGAAACAACCGATTTCAAAACATTCAGCAGCTTCTCATTTTTATGTAGCATTTTTTTTAACCTGTAGCATATTTTTTCAAAACAAAACTCTTAAATAGATGTGCTTTGAAAGTTAACGGATAATGATTTGATTTATATCATAGCTTAAGAGAACAATTAGTTTAAAAGGACAGACTAGACATGTGTTTCTTTAAAAAAAATACAATTTTTGATCAGGTGAATTCAAGTTCAGATTTAAAAACAGACAGCATCCTAATGTGCCTCCTTTTATTTATAATGCCACTTCTTGAAATTATAGTGATCTACAGTGTGAACAGTAAAGCAAATAATTTCAAACTATATTTTTATGTACATTTAAAGCCCTTTAGGATTATGTACCACGATTAAGTACGTGGACTGAAACCAGGGCACTTCCAACATATAGCTCATGCTTCTATGTGATTATTTTTAAGAGCAAACTTAGAGGCATTCTTTTTCCTCCACCCCCAACTGAAACAATTTTCAGCTACAGAGGAGAGCTGCTACCTCACTCCAGCAATGAAAAATATTACTGTGAATCCAATTTGACCAGCCAGTTTCTCAAGATCCTTTTTTATTTATTTATTTGTTGTAGAGATGGGTGGTCACTATGTTGCCCAGGCTGGACTCGAACTCCTAGGCTCAAGATACTCCCGACTAAGCTTAGAGTAGCTGGGGCCACAGCCACCTACCACCACACCCTGATCTCATATGTTGTCACTCCCAGCTAACTTTTTTTTTAACTTTTTGTAGAAACAGGGTCTCGCTATGTTATCCAGGCTGGTCTCAAACCCCTGTCTTGGTCTCCCAAGGTGCTGGGATTACATGTGTGAGCCACCACGCCCAGCCATCAAGACCCTTTTTTATTTTATTTTTATTTTTTTAAATTATACTCTAAGTTCCAGGGTACATGTGCACACCGTGCAGGTTCGTTACATATGTATACATGTGCCTTGTTGGTGTGCTGCACCCATTAACTCGTCATTTACATTAGGTATATCTCCTAATGCTATCTATCCCTCCCCCTACTCTCAACTTATCAGCACAGTTTTACGTTCTCTTTCTTTCCTTCTTCTTACAAAAACAAAACATCAAAACATATAGGAGGGCATCCCTGCTGGCCTGTTCATCCTGCAAGGTTTCTCGAAAAGGCAGAGCCTGTTGCAACACCTTCTCTGGTCAGCCATGCAGGGTGAGCAGACACCTGTGCTTGGCCTCACAAAGCAAAAAGGTGGACCTAGAACCCACTCTTCCCACAGCAGAGACAGAAGGTTAAAAAGTAACAACAAATCACAAAGTGACTTCAAGCATATTAAAGAAATCAATGATTTAGTGTCTTAAACGCATGTTCTCACTTTGAAGTGGGAACTAAATAATGTGTACATGTGGACATAGAGGTTGGAATAATAGACCTTGAAGACTAGGAAAGGTGGGAGGGGCAGGGGGTGCTAGGGATGAGAAATTACTTAATGGGCACAATGAACACTATTTGGGTGATGGTTACACTGGAAGTCCAGACTTCACCACTATGCAATATATCCATGTGGCAAAACAGCACTTGTATCCTCAAATCAATAAAAATAAAAAAAGAATTAAAAAATTCACTGGTCTCCTTAAACTAATATAGACAACTTTGTGAGCCACAGTCTTTGAAAAAATTATAATCGTAATTGGCCACACTCCATTGTTTCATATATATATACACACACACATATATATATACACGTGTGTGTATATATATATATATACACACACACACACACATATACACATACACACACACACACACACACATAATCTTGAAATGGTGTGATTTAGATTCTGCCTTGGCCTGAGCTCTAAGGGCTACACTTACCCATCTGGGAATTGTAGCACAGGTTTACCTTACTTTTCTTTTTTTTTATATTTAAATTATGTTAAGTATTCAGGAGGCTGAGAACACAGACTCCCTCTCCCCTATGATCGTCTATACTTAGGCTAAGAATTAAACAAGAACCTTTGTGTTCAGCTAGTGACAAAACAAAACTGAGCCCAAAACAGGTTGCCATAAGCATGCTGGCTTTGCTCAGTGTTTAATGTTTTTTTTTAAAAAAAGCATGGAACACTTCACGAATTTGAGTGCCATCCTAGTGCAGGAGCCATGCTGATCTTCTCTGTATTGTTCCAGTTTTAGTATATATGATACAGAAGTGAACACTCATAGCTTATTTATAACTAGTCCCCTATAGATGGACACTTGGGGACATAGTCTTTTACTATGACAACGAGTGCTGTAATGAACATCTTTGGGAATATGTCGTTTTGTACTTTTGGAACGTATCATTGTGACAAATTATTAGAAGCAAGATTGCTGGGTCAACGGGTCAATATGTATGCATATGTTACATGGATATATAATTTTGCTAGATGTCACCATATTGCTTGTGTAATTTAATATATCCATTGCTAATCTACAAGAGTGTGTATGTCTTTGAAGTTTCACAAGTAGTGTGCTTATCAACCTTTTGGATTTCGGCAATCTGGGAGGAAAGTAATGGCATATCAGTGTCGTTTTTAAATTTCATTTTTCTTACTATAAGTGAGGTTGAACATCTTTTCATAAGTTAAGGACAATTTGTTTTTTACTTTCTGTAAATCAATGTCTTTATATATCTCATGCATTTGTCTTGTTGTTTCTTATGTTTTTAGAAGTTCTTTTTATGTTAAGATTACTGACTCTTCTGGTGTGTTTTGTAAGTAAGTTACAAACTATTTTGGTACTTGCAAAAATTATACATATAAATTATACATTAAAATACATAATATTATACATTAAAAATTATACATATATTAGAAATATTTACATCATATTATAAATATATATGATATAATCTATATATTATATCCTATTAGATTATATCATATATAATTATATACATTTATATACATTCATATATCTCAAGATTTCCCCTATTGAATGTGGATTTAAGTATTATTAATTATTCCCATTTCTAGATCATAAAATAATTACTTCATACTTTATTCCATTATATGTTAGTTTTTAACATTTAAATCTTTGATTCATTTTGGATTCTTTTTTGGTATATGGGATGAGGACTAGACCAATTTTCATTTTTTATTTTGTTATTCATATATTCCATTACCATTCATCAAGAAGTTCATCTTTCCCCCAGTAGTATGAAATGTTATGGTATTATAAATTCAATTTTTGTATATAAATCTATTACTGGTTCTGTTCACAATGTTTTAATCAGAGAGATTTTAGCTATTTTTGCTTTTTGTTCTTGTAAATGTACTTTATAATTAACTTGTCTGGCTCCAGAAAAAAAAAACATATAAAAATTTTTCCTTTTAATTTGGTCCTATGATGTTTATATATTAACTTTAAAATAATATATTTTAATGATGTTGAATGTTCCTTCCAGGAATATGATACATCGTTCTATTTGTCCAACTCTACTTCAGGAGTGTTTTATAATTTTTCTCACATAAATTTTGCCTGTTTTAAACTTTTTTTATGTTACTGATGGAGTCTTCTCTTTAATACATTGTTCAGGTCTATTTTTGAATTAATTATTGTCTATGTTGTAAGGCAGTAGTCCAACTTCATTCTTTTGCATTTCATATCCAGTTATCCTAGTATCTTTAGTTGGAAACACTATTATTTCCCCCACTGAACTGCCCTAGCATCCTTGACAACAGTTGAGTCGAAATATGAGTTTACTTCTAAACTCTTCATTTCATTATTTTGATCTGTGTGACTATTCTTATGCCAGTACACATTTACTAACACTATGTAAATTTTTAAGTCAGGAAGTTTGACTCCTCTCACTTTGTTCTTCTTTTTCAAAATTGTTTTGGCTATTCTGGGTCCCTTGTATTTTCATAGCTGTTGCTTTTGGACATATAATTTGAAACCAATCAGTGTTTTAAATTCTAATATTTGCTTTATTAGAATTTTTAATTGTTCCATTTGATTTCATCAAAGAATTAATTATGAACTTTCCCTCCTCTCTATTTCTTGTAACTCTACCTAATTTTCCCATCTCTCATTTCCATTACTAAAGTTTCGGATCAATGTTAAATAATAGTTGTGATTGCATGAATCCGTGTAGCATTCCTGACTTCAATGAGAATTAAAGGCTTACTGTTAATTTTGATGTTGGTTATTAATTTTAGCAAAAATAACAATTCAGCAAATTGTTTCTCGTTAATTAAAACCTTGTAAACAGGAATGACTATGAGGGTGTCTCAAATTTCTGAGTCTTAATTTCCCTGTGAAACTAGGGAACTGAAGCTAGATTGGATCAGTGTCCAGTCAAACAAATGCTGGCTTTAGGGTTCAACACAAACTAGCTTTCCTAACTAACTCTGGAATATTGGACCTGTTAATTAATATTTCCAAGCCTAAATTCCTCATTGATGAAAAATTTTGACTGGTCATGCTTACCCTGCAGTGTTTTAGGGATTAAAGCTAATATAAGAAAAGCGCCTGGCATATAATAACCAAGAGACAGTAGCTTTTATTCATTTTATAACCTACAACGTTTTTCTAGCTCTAAAATGCTATGGAGTGCTCTGAACGTCTCTTTTCATACTCAAATATGTAAGAAAACGAATTGCCAAATAATTATGCCCTAACTTGGAGTGGAAGTTTAAACCTCAGTAAAGGACAGACTGAATTATCCCAGTCAGATCCTTGACAGTTTCGTTATGGCAGATAGATACGCCACACAGCAATAAATATAAGAAAACTCAACAATGGAACCGAGATAAGATTTTGTGTGCTATTCACATAACCCAACATCAAAATGAGTTGCCTACTTGACATAGATTCAGAGAGATCTTACGAGTTGGAAGGAACATCGGTGGGTGATGAATTTCATCTCAGGCACAAAGTGTCACTATTCATTCTATGACTTTATTGTGACAAGTTTATCTTTCCATTTGTTATTCCCTTCCACCTATCCATCTCCTAAGATAATTAATAATCACTTACCATGAATTTAGTGACCTATGTACATGTCTCATGTCTCTTACTAGACTGAGCCATCCATGGGTCAAGCACCATGTGATATTCAAATCAGTGATTCCTGGTAAGCGCAGAAGAATGAATAAATAGCTCTGTAGTTGAATGGATGAAAGAATGAACCAATAAATTAACTAACTGGTTAATCAACCACCTTCCTGCCTTTTCCATTCCATTTGCATTCACTAGGTTTAAGTGTAAAGGAAAAAAATCATGTGCAATCATGTAAATAGGTATCTCAGGAATCACTTATGCTTCCCAGCAAGACCTTGCTCTAATATAACTGATGTCATTTCTAAGCACCTCATTTATTAATTAGTTTACCTATGTCAATTTGATTATCTTATCTTTGGGAGGTACACAAAGACTGAAAATATATGTATATACACACACACACATATTTATATGTGTATATTTATAAATACACATATATTTATATTTTTTAGTGTAAATTATTTTTTCCTGGAATTTGTAGGTCACTAATCCAACTTGAATAACTAGTTCATGGAAGGAACAGTACAAGGGACTCTTTCAGTGTCACAGGAGAAAGAATTGTTGGAGACCCACTGCTCACTTTCGCTTTTTCTCCCCCGGACACCTGAGTACCCTCGAATCCCACCACAGTTTCTCCTAAGGCATGTTTGTCAGTGCGTTTACAGAGGTTCTAATTAATTCTTTGTAATTGCAGAGTGTTTTCTGCCTCCATTTCTCACCGCTGTCCCAGCCTTGGAAACAAGATGTTCCACCTCTGGAGGCTGCCCTGGTAAAAGCCTATTAATAAATAATTAAGTTTGGAGACTCCTGCAGTGGTGAGTCATGGCTGGAGATCATGTGGAAGCTGTCTCCATGGTAACTCACCAACAGGAACTGCACTGCTCTATTTCTCTTTTTGTATGTGTGGAGAGAGTGGAGGCAAACGCGTAGATTAAAAAGAGATTTGTTTTATGTATGTTTCTTTCTTTTTGTATTGAAAAAACATCTGCCACTGAATTTAGAATTCGAGAAAGGCTATGTTTATGGCAAATGAAATGTGACCTTCAGCTGGGTGCAAAACCTTCTCACACCTCTCTTCCTTATCCCAAGCTCATCTGCTCCTTCTTCCGGATCTGTTACTGGCTCCACCCTACCTTACTGGGTGTACTGTTGCTTTCCACAAAGCTATTGCCATGTAGTCATTACTGTGCCACTGGCCCCTGCCAAATGCTTCTTCACTCACTTCTCTCCCCATCTCTGTTAACTTGCTCTTCAGTGTAAGCTAAACTTATATAGAATGCAAAGAACATGGATTTTGGAGTAGGGTGGGTCCCCAGCCTCTTCTCCTAACTAGCTATGCGACTTAGGAAAGTTACTGGACTTCTCTCCGTCTGTTTCCCTGCCCATAAAATGCAAATAATAATCCCCCTGCAGGATTGTAGTGAAGTTACAGGAGGCAGCATAAAGTAGGCAATAAAAACATACATTTTTACATCAGATTGGATTTGAATCTTCTCTTTGCCTTTTACTCACTTTCTCTTTTAGGGAAAGTTAATTTCCCTAAGTCTCAGTTCCTTATCTAAAAAGCTGATCAAACAATCACAGACAGATTTATTTGAAACATTAACTTACAGGAAGGTATGTGAAAGCCTTTTGCAAAGTGTGAATACTTAGTACATGCCCATTACAGTTTATTAAAGGATGTAGCATTATAGTTGGTGTCTAAGAAATAAAGCTATTTTTATGATGATGAGTTTGTTGTGAGACAATGGTAACTTGATATAAAGGTCTGACAGGTGGGGGTCAGCAGCTTGGGCACAACAGAGCGAAAGTCATTGAACCCTTGTGTCCTTGCCTAGATTGACACTCGATTCTGCTTCAGATAGAACCTTTGACTTTCTAACCAGATCTAAGCTCAGACTCCTTTGCAGAATCATGACCCAGGCCAATCTTATCCCAGCACTGAGGTCATTTGTTCTGGATATTCTGCATTTTCCTCCCTCCTGTGCTCTGTTCTGTGATCCAAAAGGTTGACTGTATCTCTTAAGCTTGCTTTCAGGTGGCTTCCAGGTGTATAAAACCAATAAAAGAAACCCAATGAGAGCTACACAATTATTTAATAGGAGCAAAGAGAACGAGGTCTGGAACCCAGGAGATTCACTGGGCTCTCTGTTGGTACATCAAAGTTTAATAATAAATAGAAAACTAAGGCAACCTAATCAATCCTGAACAACTGAGAACTTAGATCCTTCCATCATGAAGTCATGGATCATTCTCCCAAGCAAAGAATTTTGAACTGATGGCAGAGGATGAAGGTAAGGAATGGCTGGTGTCAGAGGAAAGCTACGATAATTAACATAGGTCTTGGGACTAGCCATAGAAGTGATAACTATAGAAACCATGCACGTTTCATGTTACTTGACTCTTCCCATCTGTTCTTCCTACCTTAAATAAAAAATTCCAGAAGTGTCCATCAAGTTTCAGGGAGATATGTGAGGGAACTGACATCATCCTATGAAAATATGGTAGCTGGTGAGACTTTTTCTCTCCTCTGTTTTGGGGGCAACTGTTTCTTTACTTAATAAAAAGCAAGAAAAGATGCTGAATGGCAAAACGGGGAGACTGAAGAGGTTCTCCTGTACTTATTCCACCTCTCACATCCCAAGTCTCTTCTTTCTCTGACCCACTCTGGGGCCAAGAAAGCCGTTGCCTGCATACACCTTGCAGATGGTTTCAAGTTGAGTTTGGCCAATGGGATGCATCAGCAAGAGACTGAAGGGTGAAAGAAGACGTAAGTAGAGGGGAAGTGCTTCGGCTATGCCTGCCCTGCTCCTTCTGTAGCTGAGCATCTGTGGCAGATGCTGTGTCCTTCCATGACCACAGCTTTTGTGAGGCCACCTGCTGTGCTATGTTTTTAGATGCCACCCTATCTGTATTTACTCTCTTACCCTGCCAATTCCTCTGCACGTCATCCCTTCATTGAAATCTTTCAGTTGAACCGAATTCTGCTTCCTACTAGGCTGTTACTCACATTGAACCTATTCCTGGACCCCATTCATGTGTCAGTGCCTTCCATCTCTGCATTGCCTACACGTAGCTGGTTCTCAATAAAGGTTTGTTAAAATAAAATATTTTGTAATTAGAGTGACTTAGGGTTATCTAAAAGGAGGTCAGCCAGAGGTCAGCTAGAACACGGACATAATTTGGCATGACCATAACTCCCATTTGCTAACCACATCTGTAGGTAAGTACTAAAATCTTGGTCTTTTTCATCTATCAATGTCACCAATCATTTGAAATCATTGCTTTTAAGAAAAATCAAACACAGTCAGAATGGTTCATCACTGTTGAGAACTATTCAAATTTTCTCCAAATTGACTTGACATCTGTGGTTACCACCATAGGCAACAGTTAGCAGTGCCTTAGGAAGCAGACTGCAAGATAAGTCTAAAATAAGAAATAATTGCCTATTTATTTTGAAAAGTTTCTAAGCCAAGAAGAGTGGAAATAATGTCTCAAGATCCCCTGGAATCACTGGCCCCCTAAGCAATGAGAATTGCTAACATAGAACTCTGCTCAATCCTAGAATCAACTCAGCAGGCTCCTCACAGGCAAGTTCTCTGCAGGCTGTTGTCTCTTATTCCTTCCATGAGATATGATTTTTGTAGCCATAGTTAATGTTCTACTCTGCCCTCTAGACATCACTTCCATCTTATCTGTGTCATATTAGTGCCTGTGAATCCTACAGGAGAGGACAACTTAAAAAACAAAATATAAAAAACTGCCATAAGATCCCTAGTGTTTTTTCTTTTAATCTCCAGGAATATTTCATTTCCTGCATTGGGAAGCAACCTCCTGTCTCTTTCTACTGTCTGGAGTTTTTAGTTTATCACTTCAGCCTTGGAAACTTATGAAGTCCCTGTGTTATCTGCTGGGCAGAGTTTTAACCCAATTGATCTATTTATTTATTCCACACATGTGCAGTCCTGTCTAATTCATTCTCCCATCTTGGCATTATCTGTGATTTCTGAGCTCTTCTATTGGTTTTACTTCCCTGTTAGCCACTGTGTAGTTTATAAACAGCTTGACTGAGGGGTTTCACTTAGAGTAATGTGGGTTCACCCCAAATGAATGCTTAGAAGCAGCAGATGAAATTTTAGTTCTCTGAAATGCAATGGATGTAAATCAGATTAATTGTCTCACTGACTCTGGGAACACCCAGGCATCTCATTTCCTGCCTAAGTCGTTGGAGCTTTCACGTTAACTTTTGGCAGGTAATGCGGTTGGGACCAGTCATTCACCACCAATAACTGCTCTGAAAACACATCAGGTTAAAAACTGTGACAGGTAGGTTGGGCTTTGCTTTCCAGCAAATCAAATTCCAGTAACTCAGCCCCTTTGTCCTTTTACTCTCTCCCACTATCCCAGAAAGGTTTCCACATGTGAGCATGGGGTATGCAAGAGGCTCTTTCTCTTCTGCCATTACTCCAGGAAAGAAACAAGACCATGTACCTACAGGGTTCTCTCTTAAATAATGTATGATTTCAAGAAAAGAATGTCATGCTAGGCCATCATTTTTTACTTATCGTAGGGTTTGTGGAACCCACTTCAAACAGAGACAGGCATTATAGTAGTTTTGTGATTAAAAGCATGGAAAACAAAAGTCTGTATAAATATGTGTATATTCATGTTTATGACATATTCTAATTCAGGTTAATTAGAATAGCCAAAAGCTGGAAACATCCATGTGCCCATCAACAGGTGAATGGATAAACCAATTGTGGTTGTATCTATATGATGAAATACTACTAAACAATAAAAAAAGAATACACTACAGATACACTGTGAATGTACCCTAAAGGAATTATGCTAAATGAAAGAAATCAGATAAACAGGTACATAACATATGATTCCATCTATATAAAATTCTAGAAAATGTCAATGAGTCTATAGAGTCAGAAAGTAGATTAGCGGTTTTCTGGGATAGGCAAGTAGAAGAGATGACAAAGGAGCATGGGGATGGTTGGTATGTATTCCTCATCTCATTTGTGGTGATGGTCTCATAAGTATGTATGTATGTCAAATGAACGGATAAGGAAAATGTGGTACATATAGACAATGGAGTAGTATTCAGCCATAAAAAAGAATGATATCTCCTATCATCTGCAACAACATGGATGGAACTGGAGGTCATTAAGTGAAATAAGCCAGGCATAGAAAGACAAACATCACATGTTCTCACCTATTTGTGGGATCTATCAATCAAGACAGTTGAACTCATGGACACAGAGAGTAGAAGGATGGTTACCAGTGCCTGGAAAGGGTAGTGAGGGGCTGGGATGGCTAATGAGTACAAAAAGAACAGAAAGAATGAATAAGACCTACTATTTGATAGCATAATAAGGTGACTATAGTCCACAGTAACTTAATTGTACATTTAAAAATAACTAAAATTGGATTGTTTGTAACACAAAGGATAAATGCTTGAGGTGATGGATAACTCATTCTGGAAGGCATGGTTATTTCACATTGCATGCCTGTACCAAAACAGCTCACGTACTCCAGAAATATATATACCTACTATGTACCCACAAAAATTAAAAATTTTTAAAAAACAGAAAACTCATCAAACTGTACACTTTTAAGAGTCAGTTTACTGAATTTCAATTATATCTCAATAAAAAATAAAAATTATAGAAAACCCCAGGGATCTGGAGTCAGACTGCCTGGGATCAAATCTTGGTTCCAACACTCCTAAACTGAGTGATGCTGTCAACTTACCCAACTTCTTTATGTGTCTGTTTCCTCCATCGTGAAAGGGGAATGATATTAACCTAATTCTTGTGTTTTTGTGTGTTTAATTTGTTGATCATGTGAAGCACTTAAAATAATGTCTAGCACATAACAAGTCCTCAACAGTGTTATTTTCATGTTTACGATGTGTCTGGCACAGTGTCTTGCCATTTACAGATGTTATCTCATTTAACCCCCAAATAATCCAGTGAAGTGCTCACGCTCATTACACAGAGCCAGAATCTGAAGTCTCATGTCAGGTGGCAATGACAAAGCTGTAATTACTTTTCTGGCCTGTATGACTCCAAATCCCTCATGTTGTCTTTCCAATAAGCCACAAGTCCAATCCAAGGCCCCGAATGATGTTTGTCATGTACTCTCTGCGTTTTTGACATATCCTTAGGAAAATGGAGAAAGAAAATGGAGATGCTGATGGCTCTGCTCAGCACTCCCTCTTGTAGGAGCTGTACATTTCTAGGTGGTGGTGACCAAAGAGTTACCTGGCCTTGGTGGTAGGTACCTCCAACTAAACTCTGCAGATTTATTGAGAGAACTGAGTCCTATATGTAAAATTAATCTTCAAATAGGTATTTCTTTCTCTCCTTCCTTCTCCTTTCTTGCTTCCTTTCCTTTCTTTTCACTCTTTCTCTTTTCTTCCTTTAGATAAATGAGTACACAGATGAACAGATACAGTGTGAGGCAAGAGTCTACATGAACCAGGGAACACAGAGCCCAGATCAGGGGTATTTCACATCCAGCAGCCTGCAGTTCATCAACCTTGCCCTCTACATTTATGTCTCAGACCTGCTCGCAGGAGGAGGTAACATGATTAGAGTGGAAAGAGCACTGGACAAAGAAGGAGGGCAGCTAGAGACAGGTTCACAGGACATCACTTTTATCCTCCCAACCCTGGACAAGTTCACTACATTTCTCTGAGTCTCAGAATTTTCTGTAAAACAGAAATAATAATCCTGCTTTGAACAGCACTTTCTAGTTTCATACAGTATGTTTGCATGCCTTGTTGCTTCTGTTTCTTGTAACAGGATAAGTATTACTGTGTTCAGTAATGGAAATGGAAGTTCTGAGAGGTTAAATTTTGCCTTTTAAAGCTAGTTAGTGGTAAAACATTGATTAAAACTCAGCACGCAAGGCCACCTACCTTACAGAACTGAGGTGAGAATCAAGAAGAACACCAAATAGAATACTCTGTAAGTTGCAAATCATTCATTAATATAAAGATTTGGGGAGTTGCTGAGTCACATCACAGAGGCCACTGGCTTTGGAATTGGGCTTCTCAATTTCTGGATCCAGTTCTGTCACCAGATAACTGGGTGCTTTTGAAAAGTTGTAAAACTTGTATGGGACTCAGTTTCCTCACTTGTAGAATAAAATGATTTTTTTTCTGGGTGATTGCTACTATCTAATGATTTTTCTAAAGAATAAAAATATTTTCTTATGGTCACTTACACAGCCTCTGTCCCATTAAATTCAGTAGAACCCTTCTAAAAGTGGATTGGGAAAGGAAAAAAAAGAAAAAGAAGAATGTGGGGGTTAGGAGGTGACACTCAGAGAAGGGGTCTTGGAAGACATTAGGCCTATATAATAACTCATCATGTTTTAAGACTTCATTTTCTCTTTTTCATGCTGAATAACCATAATTACTGTGAGTACTCTTCACAATTTTTTTCAGAGCTTTAATGATTCCCATTGCTTTGTTCTAGATGTTCTCAAACTTTCTAAAGTGGGCTCTTTCCATAAAAAAAGAAAAAGCTGAAGATGATGATTTGTCCTTCAAGGATAATTTATCCACTCAGGATTTTATCTAAAAACCTCTGGGAAGTTGGTCTGAGATGATAATCCATTTAATATGATTACTGTAAATAGACAAACCAAAAATTCAACCAGATGGTTTGTAGTCTAAGTAATTTAATTTGCCCATTTATTTACACTACTGAAATAATTTACATAGCTTTCCAACTAGGTCCTTGCTAGAGTTCTTCATCCCTGGGGTCAGGTGGTGGGGAGAACCCATCGCTCTTTAGATTTGCTCAAAAGCATTTTAATATTTTTTAGAACATCATCATGTCTGTATTATTGTACAATTGGTATCCAGAGACTATGACCTACACGACAAACCAGCTCACCACCTGATTTTGTAAGTAAAATTGTATTGGAAAACACTCCTGCTTGGGTGTTGTCTATAGCAGTGTTTGCACTATAATGGTAGAGTGGAAAAGTTGCAACTAAGACCATACGACCTACAGGCCTATGGTATCTTCTAACTGTATTATCTTTTCTTTTTTTATTATTATTATTATACTTTGAGTTTTAGGGTACATGTGCACAATGTGCAGGTTAGTTACATATGTATACATGTGCCATGCTGGTGTGCTGCACCCACTAACTCGTCATTTCCATTAGGTATATGTCCCAAAGCTATCCCTCCCCCCTCCCCCCACCCCACAACAGTCCCCAGAGTGTGATGTTCCCCTTCCTGTGTCCATGTGTTCTCCTTGTTCAATTCCCACCTATGAGTGAGAATATGCGGTGTTTGGTTTTTTGTTCTTGCGATAGTTTACTGAGAATGATGATTTCCAATTTCATCCATGTCCCTACAAAGGACATGAACTCATCATTTTTTATGGCTGCATAGTATTCCATGGTGTATATGTGCCACATTTTCTTAATCCAGTCTATCATTGCTGGACATTTGGCTTGGTTCCAAGTCTTTGCTATTGTGAATAGTGCCACAATAAACATATATGTGCATGTGTCTTTATAGCAGCATGATTTATAATCCTTTGGGTATATACCCAGTAATGGGATGGCTGGGTCCAATGGTATTTCTAGTTCTAGATCCCTGAGGAATCGCCACACTGACTTCCACAAGGTTTGAACTAGTTTACAGTCCCACCAACAGTGTAAAAGTGTTCCTATTTCTCCACATCCTCTCCAGCACCTGTTGTTTCCTGACTTTTTAATGATTGCCATTCTAACTGGTGTGAGATGGTATCTCACTGTGGTTTTGATTTGCATTTCTCTGATGGCCAGTGATGGTGAGCATTTTTTCATGTGTTTTTTGGCTGCATAAATGTCTTCTGTATTTTCAAAGGAAATGATTGCCAACCCCATCCTAGGTGACAGGGGAACTATTCTGGTTCTCAACTTTAAATGTAAGCAATAAAGGTTTAAAGGAATGGAAAAATACAGTTTGGTTCATTCTTACTTTTTACTTAGTTTATGACTTTTTTTTTTTTAAGTCAATCCGGACCAAGTGAATTCCAGGTACATAACAAAATCACCTTGAACCCAGCAAAAATAACTGATCACCTGAGACTTCTACAGTATGGCTCTATATTTGCCAATTGCTTTTGCCTCCATGGTCATTGAATTCTCACCAAAATGCTAACAGGCATCAAATAACAAGAAGCTATTTCAAATCTAATTTGCTTTTTTGCAAATGAGATTAAATGAGGATCAGAGAAAGTGAATGGCAACTGATAGCACTCTGATAGCAGGGACCTTTCTGCACCAAGGAGCTTAACTTATTGTTTCATTCAGTCCTCGCAATAACATTACATAGCAAGAATTATTGTGTTTATTAGGCAGATAAATTAAGGACTTGAAAAAATCAGGAAAGTTGCTGAAAGTCCAATACTTATAAAATTAGCATATTTGTACTAAGTCAATGAGTCAAGTGCCGTTTTTTTGTTTTTTGTTTTTTTTGAGATGGAGTCTCGCTCTCGCTCTATCACCCAGGCTGGAGTGCAGTGGCTTGATCTTGGCTCACTGCAACCTCTGCCTTCTGGGTTCAAGCAATTCTTGTGCCTCAGCCTCCCAAGTACCTGGGATTATAGGTGCATGCCACCATGCTGAGCTAATTTTTGTATTTTTAATAGAAATGGGGTTTCACCGTGTTAGCCAGGCTGCTCACGAACTCTTGACCTCAAATGATCTACCTGCCTTGGCCTCCCAAAGTGCTGGGATTACAGGCATGAGCCACCGCGCCCAGCCAAGTGCTAAGTTTTAAAAAATTTTCTTTGGAGTTACGGGTCTCACTATAGTGTCCAGGCTAGAGTTCAGTAGCTACTCATAGGCATGATCACAGCACACTATAGTCTCAAATTTCTGGCCTCAAGCAATCCTTCAATCTTAGCCTCCCAAGTAGCTGCAACTACAGATTCAAGCCACTGTGCCAGGCCAACCACTAATTTTGTGGTTTGGTCGAATTTGTTTTTAGATCAAAAGACCTGAGATACTTATTTTTTCCCACACATGCAGAATTTAAAGGAGACATAGAATGCAAATGGCATATGAGGCCATATCTGACACACCTCTAAGTACCTCTTAGGAGGCCACCTGAAGGACTGAGGGAAGACGCTGGGCTAAATGACAAAATACTGCCATTTGGTAGTGCTCCAAGGCACATTTGAGGGGCTTGAAGTCTCCCTCTTACCTGTTTCCAAACTCCTTCATGCAGCTGAGGGAAATGACTCTACATTTAGAATTATAGGGTGGGAAGAACACTCTTAACAGTAGGCAATTGAAAATGGCCTACAGGACCCTATAGAAGAGAACCTTATAACACTAAGCAACGTATTTATTGTGGGTGACCGACCATCTACTCATGGCCAGGAAGCATGAACAGTAGAAATGGTTGTTTTCTCAGTAGAGACCACTTACTCTACCCTATGGGTCACTCTCTCATACTCACTTGAGGATAAATCACTCAGCAGGATAGAGCATCCTTCATTCCTTAAGGTCATCGTCATGTAACTGACAAAACATAAAACCTAATATTAGAACCAAACCATTTTTAACATAGTTACACATGTGATCTAGCCAACAGACTAAGTAAGGGCTGATAAAGCCTGGGTCAAAAATAGATCTATGGAATCTATGGAGTTGCAGGAAAGAACAGACTGAGAAAGCAATTACATGTTTTCTAAATGGTGTGCAAAGGAAAGGAATAAATCAAAATTAATTATGACATACATTCTCAGGATAAACAGGCTTTGAAAGGTCACTGCGAGCAGCCAGGAAACTGAATACCATTAGGAAAAACAAATGCAAAGTTTTGACTATTTTAACAAGTCATTTTAATATAGTTGACAAAGTAGAAATTAATCCCTATCTGCAGGCAGCCCCAAACCCTAATGAAAAACCCTGGCAGAATAGAGATGAAAAGGGTATCTGACCCCAAAGAGATGCCCTCTGCCCATAAGAGGAAGCCATTATACAGAAGGTTGGCAAGTGATTAAAAACTACAATGGTAGTGAGATATAGCTGAGATAAAGAACCATTTAAGTAAAATGTATAGAAACCATCAACTCCCAATATCTTAATCTCAGTAAAAAAAAAAAATTCTCTTGCTGAAGCCTTATCAGTGGTACAGATTTTATTTAGCCTTAGGGGATGTATAAGAAGTGATGCGGCATGCCCCACTTGGGGAAGGAAAACAAGTGTGGCCTTTCCATCTCTATTTCCTTAAATGTGCCCCAGTTATCGTATCAGGATCCCTGAATATTTTTCTAATGGCTTAATTCTCCCAGAATGCACTATTTGCATTTTTCCAAACTGTATTTTCTTCTTCCTATTTTCTTACCATGTTGTAAACCCTCTAGGTTCACTCTGTTAACCAAATCAGCATCCTTGTCAAATTTAATTAATACACTGTGTGCTTCCCCTTCCACATCATTACGAAAGATGCTGAATAAGACAGGGTCCATGTCAACATATTCCCAAAAGCCTGTCATTTCTAGTACGTTCCCTCTGCATGCAGCCAGCCAGTTCTCCACTGCTGCAAATGTTCACTTCTAAGACAATTTAAATGCCCTGATGGGCTATCGTTTTGTGAAGTGCTCTGTGCAATGTGTTAATCAAGTCAAGACCAGGGACATTCACTGTATTCTATTTGTCCACTCATTTGCTAATTAAAGCCAATAATGAAGTTAAAATTTGTCTGGCAAGATTTCCTTCATTATTAGTGCTACAATTAGGTTTGTATTTCTTGTTCTTCTCATTTAGATGTTTACACACACACACACACACACAGTTAAAATCTTAAAACCTGGGCATTTTCTACTTTACTGTTAAGAAAATCAAGTTCAATTTTGAGCCTACTAATTATAGATTATCATTCTGAAAGAATTGCCTAGCAGTCCAATGATTAATGTCTTACTTTTTTAATTCCAAGGGCAGTCAAAGCAGATCCTGGAGTTCTGGCCAGAGATTGGCTCTGGGTTGGGTTTTACAGGACTGGGTTAGGAATAGAGGATTCCTGCTGAATACAACTCCAGTTGCCAAGGACAATCTAGCAACCCAAAGTCCACTGTGAAAAGCTGAAGTTTAAGCAAAAGGGTAACAAAAATCTATCAAATCCAGAAGTGAGAAGCAAGAATAAAAGAAGGCTTTACAGAGGCCAACTGGTGATTAGAAATGGAATCCAAACAAGAGATCAAGAAGGTACTGAGTGAGAATGTTACAATAATTTCCTTGAGCACTGGAACAGAACATTAAATTATTTTGAGAGACTCTGAGTTAGCAGCTGGAGCTTGCTGACGAAATTAAAGGGTGGATAGAAACCACCAATCATTATCATCATCATCACCAACCCAGGAGGCAAGTATTTTTAATATAGAATGTGAGAATTTAGAACAGGAGGGCTCTTGAAATAATCAACATCTCCTTTGGGTTCCAATCCTCCTGCATCTCATATGCTTCATTCTGCATTCACAGTGAAAGTGCTCCAGATGGAGACAATGACACTGGGGGATGTTCAGAGAAGTTTGGCACAGCTACAGCACAGAAGGGAGGTCCAAACTGATGCAGCATATTGTGCAAGGAGGGTGTCAAAGAGCTGAGACTTGAAGAGGTTAACAAAGGCCAAAGAAGCAAGACCTTGTTCAATGTATGAGGAGGTTTTCACAGTATCCCAAGAACAATTGGAAGTCACTGAGGGTTTCAAGCAAGGCAATGACATAATTTTCTCTGCAGTTTGGAAAGCTGAGTCTGGAGGCAAGCTGCACACTGAGTGTGCAGTTTTACGTAAGACTAGAGTCGGGAGACCCAAGAGGGATCTGTTGTAGGAGTCCTGGACAAAGTCAAACATGGCCTGAACTGAGTGATGGTAAGAAAAAACATCGTCATTTCCGACAGTGTCAGAAAGTGCACTAGACATAGAGGATAGATTAGAGGGAGATGTCAAAGGCTGCCCCCAGGTGTTCCACTTGAGCAATCAGGGCTGGTTCTACCATTCACTACACAGGGTATAACTGAGGAAAGTGGGTATGGGGGAAAGATTAATAAATTGGATAACTAATATAATCATAACCACATTTATTGAGGTTTATCTCTTTGTTGGTCACTTATGTGTTTCCAAATATTAATCTCATGGGATTTTCCCACTGCCACTATGAGATGGGGGAAAAATAACTGAAGACACACAGTTGGTCAGGCATAGAGCCAGATTCTAAACCAAGCAGTCTGGTTGCAGAAGCCTGGAGTTGGGCTGAGTCCACAATATGTCTACATGGAAGGGCCTCACAGGTCTCAATCTTAGGAGAGAGGTCTAGACCAGTAGTTCTCAGTGTTTATAGTCTGAAGGGATTCATAAAAACAAAACAAAACAAAACAAAACAACAGATGTTTTATTTCTGAACTTTAAGCATTAATTATTTAAACCTTCCACATGACAAATATTATGCTATAGGCACAGGAAAGAGCATGGAAAGAGCATTTGCTCCAATCCCTACCTCCTTAGCCATGTATTTCTCACTACAGCTCACTGCTCCTGCCCCAGTGAATAGCATCAGACAATTGGGAAAACACAGGATGATCTTCTTTTTACCTCTGAGCCTTGAAACGGGACTCCTCTTTCCTTAATCTTGGATACATATGAGAATCACTCACATAGGATTTGAAAATGTAGATGCTTAAGCCCCACTCCAGATCTACTACATATGAATCACTGGGTTTTTATTGCTGCCGTTGCTGCTGTTGTTTACAGTTTAAGAAATATTTCAAGTGTGTAGCTGCGCAGTCAAGATTCACTGTCCCATAGACTAAAAACTCCTCTACAAGTGAAAGTACTAAAGGCTAAACTACTAAAGAATAAAAAAAAAAAGGGGGGGATTTGACAGTCTTCGATGAAATAGAACCCTCACTATTTTACTTTTTATTTTAGGTTTAGGGGCACATGTGCATGTTTATTATACAGGGAAATTGCATGTCACAGGGGTTTGGTGTACTGGTGATTTTGTCACGTAGATAATAAGCATAATACCCAATAGGTAGTTTTTCGATCCTCACCCTCCTCCCACTCTCCACCCGCAAGTAGGTCCCAGTGTCTGCTGTTCCCTTCTTTGTGTCCATGTGCACTCAATCTTTAGTTCCCACTTATATGTGTTTAGCTGTGATCCCACCCAAATTCTCATCTTGAATTGTAGTTCCCATTATCCCCACATGTCATGGGAGGGAGTCGGTGGGAGGTAATTGAATCATGGGGACTATTACCTCCATGTTGTTCTCATGATAGTAAGTGAGTTCTCCTGAGATCTGATGGTTTTACAAGGGGTTTTCTTCCCCTTCACTCTGCACTTCTTGCTGCCACTATGTGAAGAAGGACATGTTTGCTTCCTCTTCTGCCATGATTGTAAGTTGCCTGAGGCCTCCCCAGCCCTGCAGAACTGTGAGTCAATAAAACCTCTTTCCTTTATAAATTACCCAGTCTCAGGTATTTTTTCACAGCAGCGTGAGAACAGACTAATACAGGAATGAAATGGTTTGGCTGTGTCCCCACCTAAATCTCATCTTGAATTGTGGTTCCTATAATCCCCACATGTCATGGAGGGGAACACAGTGAAAGGTAAATGAATCATGGAAGCAGTTACCTCCATGCTGTTCTCATGACAGTGAGTGAATTCTCATGATATCTGATGGTTTTAAAAGGGGCATTTCCCCTACTTCCCTCTACAGTTCTCCTTGCTGCCACCATGTGAAGAAAGACGTGTTTGCTTTCCCTTCCACCATGATTGTAAGTTTCCTGAGGCCTCCCCAGTTATGCTGAACTGTGAGCCAATTAAACCTCTTTCCTTTATAAATTACCCGGTCTTGGGTATATCTGTATTAGCAGCATGAGAACAGACTAATACATCCACTTATAAGTGAGAACATGTAGTATTTGGTTTTCTGCCCTGTGTTAGTTCACTTAATAGCCTCTAGATCCATCCATGTTACTGCAAAAGACATGATCTCATTCTTTTTTATGGCTGTGTAGTATTCCATGGTATATACATACCACATTTCCTTTATCTAGTCTACCACTGATGGGCATTTAAGTTGATTCCATGTCTTCACTACTGTGAATAGTGCTACAATAAACATAAACATGCATGTGTCTTTACGGTAGAATGATTTCTATCACTTTGGATATATACCCAGTAATGGGGCTGCTGGGTCAATTGGTAGTTCTGTTTTGAGTTCTTTGAGAAATAGTCAAATTGCTTTGCACAATGGCTGAACTCATTTACCTTCTCACTAGCAGTATAAAAGTGTTCCCTTTTTTTCCACAACCTCACCAGTATGTGTTATTTTTAAACTTTTGCTGCTGTTGTTCCTAGTTTATGAAGTATTTGAAGTATGCAGCTGCAGTCAAGACTCACTGTCTCAGAAACTGAAAATACCTCTGAAAGCATAAATACTAAAGAGAGAGAGAGAGAGCCAAACCATCAGGATTTGTTAGATTCCTAGAAGAAATAGAACATTCATTATTTAAAATAGTTTATATTCCAAGCACTAAATGACACGCTTTGCATATCTTAAATTAATTTCACCTTGAACAAGAAAGTAGCTTCAATAATTAGCATTTTATTAATGGGGAAACAGAGTCACAATGAGATTAGAATTAGTTCCCATGGTGATATAATGGTTGACCCAGTCTAACTGCACTTTTTTACTACAGTAATTTTACAAAGATGCTCTCTCTCTCCTGCACCAATACCAGCTCAGATGCTTTTTTATTCTTATCAAAATGCTCTATGGTCCAAGATAAATTGGTAGTACACTGGGAGTGAGAAGAATGAAGAAACTAAGGCAGATCAGATGGAAAGGCCAGTCTTATAGAAGTCCATTGAGAAAAGTACCAACTGAAAATTCTGTCACCCACAAGTGCATCAGCATGCAGCTCTCAGGGATAGCTATGCCTAATCCACCCTTATCTGAAACAAAAAGCCAAATTATTATTTCAAGAGAAAGCTGTGTGTATAAGGTGCAGTCTTGGGGAGCAAAGCAGAGAGCTGAGTCCATATAGGATTGGGGAAAGTATGGAGTTTCTGGACTGGGGGACTTTAACAAGCAATTAGTGTGTAGGGATTGCTTGAACTTTAGCTGCAGAAGTTTAGGCACTCAAGTGAGGCTGGTTCTGATTGGCTGACTTTCAGAAAGGCAGTCACTAGAATGAGGACGTTGCCAATTGACTGATTTCAGAAACATGGTGTTGTCACTGATGGGCTTACCCTTCAGAAGTTGGATTACTTGAGCTAGTTGTCACTGATCAATGAAGCATATTTAAGACCAGCTCTTATAGTTATTTTTGCCTTGATGACAGAGCAAATTTTCCTAGGAGGATAGAAACTTTTATTTTCAAGAGTTGGTCAGAACATGCTGCTCCAAGATCCTCTGGTTAGGAGGCATGGAAAGGCAACTGGACCCTTAATTGACATTTATCGGGATTGAGCTACAAGTAAGAAGGTATTGGTAGACTTAAAGTGCACCCTGAATGATCATCTCTAATCAGTATTTCCCTGAAAAGAATTATTAGCTTATAGATTTCAGTCTAGTATTTATAAAATACTCATTCCAGTTGAGTATTTATAAAAACTAAAGCAAACTTAAAAAAAAATCCAATTGAATCTGCCTGAATCTTTAAAGTCTTACTTTCTGTATTTATATTCTTTAAACACTTAGGGCTCTTTGCTGTTGCTGTGCTTAACTCTTTTAATAAACTGATCAGTTTTGGTTATAAAAGAAGATTATCAAGTGAGAAAGCCTGCTAATGTCAGCCAGTTTGTATACCTAGGGCAAAAGCCTAGCTGTGTGGATTATGAAGTCATAGCCAAACCTCCATTAGTCACCTGACAGCTGTCTTCAGTAAACTACCTATGTGGAATTAAAACTCTCATGAGTGTGCTACTGTCATAATTAAGCTTAAACTCCATTATGACCATACCATCACAGAATCCTTCTCCATCCAATAAACTTCTCCCATACCCTTACACTCCATTTCCCCAACAAAAGAGAATAACCATTTCTGAGTGATATTGATTTTTTACATCGTGGGTAGTGAAGATAAATAGCCCTGGTGTACATTTGGTTTTGGCTATTTCTACACAGTACCTAAACAACTGGCTTGTTCTTTTAATTCAGTGAAAACCAAATATCAGACCTACTTTCATAGAATTTTATGTATCACATAAACAGTTTAATTTTTTACATTTTATTTTATTTTAAACTTTTCAGCTGGCTGCTTCTGTGTTAATGCAAAGATGCAAACTTTACTGGTCTTCATTTGTTCCAATTGAGTTACAGTCTGAGACTATCTGAATGACTCCAACAATCTGAATATTTTTTCAGTCAATTCAGTTATTTCTGTCATGAGGCCAGCCAGGCGCTAAGCTGTCTGATAACCATTCAGCTCCTTTCAGTCACTAGGCTGATGCCATTAAGATTGCCTTGGCTGTTTGAATGAAATATCACCATGCATTCTGAAGCATCCATTTGCAATATGATGATTAGGTGTCGGATATCATGGTTCTCTCCCTCAGTTTCTCCTTTTACACAATTATGGCATGAATCTCAGGGCTGTAGGGGCTTTTACAAATGAAATTACACAAAGCACTTGTCTTAGTGTATTTGGGATGCTGTAACAAAAATATCATAGACTGGGTAATTTACAAACAACATAAATTTATTGCTCACAGTTCTGGTAGCCGGGAAGTCCAAGAACAAGGCACCAGCAGATTCATTGTGTGGTGAGGACTCACCCTCTGCTGTGAACATGGTGCCTTCTAGCTGTAACCTTATATGGCAGAAAGAGCAAACAAGCTCACTGAAAGCTGTTTTTATAAGAGCATTAATTCCTTTCATGTGGGCAGCACTCTTATGACCTAATCATCTCCCAAAGCCTCCACCTCTTAATACCATCACGCTGGGGATTAGGACTCAACATATGAATTGTGGAAGTTGGGTGATGGGAGGGACACAAACATTCAACCCATAGAAGCACTTTATAAATTTAAAATGAAAAAAACACACTGTAAAAATTTCAAAGAGTCTTCCAATGTGTCTTTATCTATTTTGATGTTCTTGAAGGGGTGTCCCTTCTCCGTGGTGAGCACCTCCCCTGGTGTTCATAATCCCAGTCATTCTAACTTCTTTTGAGTCACTTGTCTATCTATTAGGTCCGCTCTTTCTTTGACTTTTGTTATCTCTTATCCCTTGGCTTCTTCCTCTTTGCCTGTAATTGTCCTCAAACTCCCATTCTGCCATCCTTCCCTCTCCTTTGCTTCCTCTGTTTGTCATTTCCTAGTTACACTCCAATACCTGGTTTCTGCAGCCATAGCCTTCTTAGATCTTATCAACATTCTAAGTGCCAAATACAAAGACACTTGCCAGGCTACAACTTGCATGATTTCATGTTAATATTTGACCAAGCTCCCCACTCCAACTTTCTCTTCCCTTAGCTTCTATAACTTACCCTTTGGTTTCTTTTATTGCCTCTCTGTCCCATCCCTCTCAGGCCCCTCTGCTTCTTTCTTGGCATTCAATGTGCATGTTCCCCATTTCTCATGCTTAAAAGTCCTCTCTTCTCATTCCTAATCTTTCTCACTCCATGCCTTGAAGTGACCCTGTATCATGAATGATTCCCAAATCAGTAGCTCCAATCTAAACTCTCTCTTGAGCAACAGGTTCATGTGTACACCTGGCTGCTACCCATTTTTAGATGCAGATTCAGAAAGCACAATGATTTCAAAATATACAGGGTCAAACCTACATCCCCACCTACCCTCCAAAATCAAGCTCTCCTACCTTACTCCCTCCTTTCAGTAGTGGCACCAAGATTCACCTTGTCACAAGGTTAGAAATATTGTAGATACAGGATGCCTTCCTCTTGCTTAAATCCTAAAGTCATATTGGCCACCAAGTCCAGTGACTTTTCCTCTCCGTTCCAACAGCTATCCCCTTGATTCAGGCTCTCACCATCTTGCTAGGCCCCAGTGTGAATTCCCTAACTGGATACCCTAACCCCAGGGCCTCTCCTCTCGGTCCCACCACAGTGAGTTAAATCTTGTCACTGCCCTGCTTAAAATTCTTCAGTGGCATCTCATGTCTTTTTTCAGGAGGTTATAAGCTATTTTTAGCAGTGTGACCTTTCTCTTCAAATATATTCTTTCATACAACTCTATTGTGTGAA
This sequence comes from Homo sapiens, assembly GCF_000001405.40. Classification (NCBI taxonomy): domain Eukaryota; kingdom Metazoa; phylum Chordata; class Mammalia; order Primates; family Hominidae; genus Homo; species Homo sapiens. The sequence continues at coordinate 87,496,359 of NC_000015.10, forward strand.
GCAGAGGCACTCTGTGAGGCTCTGGATTTGGTGGATCTTAAGGGACCAGGATCCTCCCCAGCTCAGTCACTCTCTCTCTGCCAGATAGAGGCCCATGAGGCAGCTCCATAATGAAGGACTGATTGAAAATCATTGATGGTATAAAGTCCACATGATGTGAATTGATGTATCAGAGTATTGAGAGAGAATGACTATGACTACTACTATCACTCTCATGGCTACCTTGGCAGCTGGAACTAGAATTCTACTTACAGAGGACACAGGCTTTGAGAAAATACCTATTAAATCCTGGTGAGAAGTTGTGTTTGCCAAGGCTTAGGCCCTGGCTATTGCCAAGTTTTCTGAGAGAGGAAAGCATCTCATCTGCCTTAAAAATGAAGAAGGATTTCTATGTTTCTTTGAGGAGGAAAAGGCCAGATGACAAAAGAGAGGTTATATGAGAGAGAAACAGGAGAGAGAAAGCAGAGAAGAATATCAAGATGGAAGTAGTATGGGAAAAAATATTTTAAAAGGTACAATCCTGGTGGCAGTGTCTGAAAAGGGAGCTCAGAGAATAGTGATATCCAAGATGTTTTTAGAGATTTGGGAGTTGTTGTTTGTTATGTTTTGCTGCACATTACATAACAGAAACCCTCCCTATGACCCAAAGTGTTGAGTAATATGCTTTTGAAGGACTTTGCGAGTGTATTATCTTTGGAAAGTTTAAAGGGCTGACTTTTGCATCTAGACCAATGGACGGTAAAAGAAATAATATTTACAGATACAGAAAGTATGAGTACAATGGGCTTGGGAGAATAGCAGCCCCAGATATTTGCAGAAAAATGTGGGAAAGAATAAGGTGAACCCTAAGCCATGGTTTGGGAGAATCCTGAAATGGACAAATGTCTAGGGATCAGGAGATCCTAGTTGAAAATAATTGATAGTGCAATCTTTGAATTTATTAATCACATTCAAAATAGCTCACTGATGAAACTAAGCATTGTACGGAAGGCTGTTTCACAAAGAACAGGATGCTGGGGGCTCCTGAAGTTGCAAAAGAGACCAAACTCATTCAGAACTAGCTCCAGAAAAAGTTCATATAAAGATATGCATACTAAAATAAAGGTGAGGAAGTAGAATCAGGATCTTACAGCTACTGAAAACTTTTCAAGCAGAACTCTCCTAGCCACATGGATTCCAGATGCTGCATCGTTTTGAGCATCTCTTCTTTCTATAACTTTTAGCTTTCTCTGTTTTATTATTACTGTTCATATAACTGACGGTATCCTCCAGCCCAAAGGTTACATGACCCTTTGATTCTAGCACCCACAACCACTAGACTGACTTCCTGTCTATGTCATTTAATTCCAATTTGATGGACGGAGAATGCAATAGGTTTGACTGGAGTGGGGTTCACCTCTAGGCTAATTTGCTGTGGCCAAGAGGTGGGGTCACATTATACACAAGGTCACTTTGGGTAAAGTGAGCAAGAAAACAATGGTTTACATATAAAATATAATTATTCCCCTGCTTCTTCTCTCTTAGCTTTACTGACTTGGCTAGGTACACGCTTGTGGATGAATGCTGAGATGTTTCCAGAAGATGGCAGTTCAGCTTTTCTCAGTTTGGTGGTACATAGAGAAACGGGAGACAATCTCCAGAGATAAGTGAAAGGTTTGTTTCACTTATAACAAGAACTTTGGAAGACTCAGGGATTTTACAGCAGAATCTCAAATCTTATGACAGTTTTCCCACTGAGAATTTGTGTCACTGACATCATTCTCTGCATGCAAGCATATCATCTTTTACATAATAGATATATTCCTCAAAGGTTGTGTGTGAACCAAATTTTTATATTTGGGAGACAGTTCTAATCTCAGTTTCTTCACCTATACAATGGGGGAAATCAAATTCTATTTCAAACTCACCAGTGAAGCATGATTTTATTTAACGAGCCACGCTGTGAATTTTCTCTGTGGTTGGAATACTGGTCCACTAATTGATCTGTTTTGCAAATTTGGATTTTTATCTATCAGGCTTTCCTGAATGCAACTTAGAAAGGTAAACAGTAGCTTTAGAGAGAGCCTAAGTGCTACAAAAATAAAAGTAGTTACAAGCTGAATGCGAAACCCAGAACTCTGGGTTCCGCTCAGCAATTTAAACAAATTACATCAATTCAGGGATGATGATCAGTGATCCAAAGTAACTGAATTCTTCTTTTTTTCAAGTTCTTTGTATTTTAATAGTCTCTGACTCTGTAAGTAACAAGCAAGGTTCTGTTAAGAACCCATTTCAAATTTCTGTTTAAAAGCTCTGCTCTTCACCTTTGAAGAAATGGAGCTCATGAAGTTAAGTAAACAGATTGCAGATGGCGCACCACATTCACTCGGAAAACATGCTGATTACTCAGCAAAATGGCATTTAGCACCACAAAAAAAGCCAAGAGCTGAGTTACTACATCAAATCCTCAGTGGAATCCAATATCCCCACCTGTGGGATGCCGGCAATTGTGTCTAAAAATGCAATTACCAGAAGGGAAGAAAAACAGATTTACTCTCTTTCACGAGGAACGGAATCATGAAAAGGGTCTTTCCTCATGGAGTAAGTACACTGGAAGCATAGTTTATTCTGTCTTGATGCCCACTAATGGTCTGACCGTCCCCCATTATATCGTTGCTAGGTGAAATATGGCTTTATTATTTGCATCTAGAATTATATCACAGTCCTCTCTCCTAGGCAATCACCGAGCCTGTTGTACCAGCACCAAGATAGAGCTACTACAAAAATTAATAAGTAGGGCCAATGTTTATTTTTCCAGAAAGGTGAGCTTTTCAGAATCCTTTTCTTCTCACAATACATTAAGGTGTTGTAAGCATAAAACTAAACTGAGTGAATGAGAAATGGTAATTGAACACCATCAAAACACTCTACATTTGGAGAGAAGGGAGTATACAGTGATCAATAAAACTCAGAACACTGACATGGTTTAAATGAGTCCCCCATTGGTTCCCCAATATTCAGGATACCAAAGGTGCTGAAACTACTCTTCAGGAAGTAAGCAGGGGTAATTTCCAGGATGACAGGGAGGATAATAAACTTTGAAGAAAGATTGGATTGTACTTCCTTTAGCTCTAAAGTAGAGGTACTTGAGGTCATCATAAGCCAATAGGTACATAGACAGATACCTCCTGCATTCCCTTCCAAAAACACTCAAGATAGAAGACAATGGGGATTCGGTCAATAATAGTGTAGAAAGATGTCAGAAAAGATGGTGCTTCAGAAGCCGAGGAAATACTTTGCAGAACGAAAAACTGAAAGATATTCATTATATATATATATATATATATATATATATATATACACACACACATATATATATACACATATATATATACACACATATATATATACACACATATATATATACACACATATATATATACACACATATATATATACACATATTATATATATATATATATATATATATATGCAGGCAGCCAGTGTAAGTTAGGATGAAAAGGGACACACACAAGAGAAGCACAAGCCTATTTCTCTTTCCCTAAATCTGTATGATCTAAGGCAAATCACCTCACTGCTCTGGGACCTCATCTCTCTGACATGTAAAACATTTTAAGAGTAACTGCAGATTTACCTCTTCAATACTTCTTCCAGGTTCTGGAATCAGGAGGTAAAAATCCTGAGTAGTTGATGAGGTTGGGAAGACTGGGGGAAATATCTTACCACCAAATGCCAACCGGTAGATTCCATGGAAGGTATAAAAACATTTACCACTTCCAAATATGGAAGCACCCTCTACCTACTAAATGGAGACTGCTTGCAAGCATGTATGCATTATTTAGGTATTATGCATTGATTTGTATGTGTATGTGAATTTAATAAGTAATTTAGTGGCAGATAGCTACATAATTATATTCCTTTAATCACCAGCAGACCTCCAGACAGGACTCAAAATCTGTATTTCTCCACTCCTTGCCTGGCAGGTCTCAGAAGGTCAAGGTTTTTCGTTGCCCTGGCAACAGCTGATAGCATCACTACCACCTGAAGCCGCCCAGGGGGCTGCAGGCTCTGCAGCACTGTAAGCGGTTATGATGTTATCCCAGTTGCTGGGGAAACGCACAACCTTGCACCAGGCAGGTGGGTAACCGTGGAGTCGATTTCCAAGCATTCTGCCTTTAACAGTCTACACTGGCAAATGTATTCATCGCTGCATAAATTCTATGAACAATTTGGGATCTTAAAGAGTTTTAGTCATGTGTTCTCTTTTTAAAAAGCTCTTAAATGGTTCACCTTTACTGCTTGAAATGTAGTGCTTCTATGAAAAAAATAAAAACAGGTTTATTATTGCTCTATTTTAAATGAAATTGCCACCCACACTAAAATATGCCAGAGTAACTCCTCCCCAGTGTCTCTGCCCCGCTAATCAAGTCTGCATATTTTTTTTAGGTTGCTCTCTATCTACAGGGGAAAAAAATAAAAAAAAGTATCTTAAGATAATATTGGATCTTGAAAAGTAGACTCATAAAAGCAGAGAAGTCCTGTTCATCATTTGAGTCATCCTTGATTGGCTTTCTTTTAAAATGCATCTTCTGTCTTTCTTATAACCAAGGGCTTTAAAATTCAAATGTTCATGAACACCAGCTTTATTAAAATTAAGGCTTGGGGAAATGGCTTGGAAAAGGGAGAAAAGAATATTACCCAACCATTTAAAAGATGCTAATTAATGAAGTTCTAAAGCCCAGAGAGGGCATTTGATACAACAAGGGTTTCTCTACAAGGAAAAATAAAAAGCATCTAAAAACAAAAAATTTAAAAAAACCCTCAGAATAAAATAAAATTGAAGTAGATTAACTCAAATCTTCCCCCAGCTTCTGGAGAGGCCTTGGGAGTTTTGCTATACTCTAAGAACTTGAGTTTGCGTGCCTATGAACTGAACGCATTTACATTTTCTGGTCCAGCTCCATGCCAGCCTTTTAGCCACTGGGGACCTGCCTTGAATGTGCAATGCAAGGCATTTCACCTACTTGGTTTTTATCCACTGCTTGTCCTCAGCAGCAATCACATACTCAGCCCTGGTTAAAAGGGAATGCGGGAAGAGAGGCTACCCAGATGGATGGCTCCATTCTGCCCCATCTTTCTTACCCACAAGCTCCTTTCACTTTTAATTATGGAGAGGAGAACACATTCTCTTTTCTCCATTCTCCACCTCTCTTAGCTCATTCATCCACTGCAGCTTAGAATTGGAGCTTGCAGCAGTATTTTCCCTTCACGTGTTAAACATCGGTGGATGCTTTCAAAGCGTCTATAGTTAAGCTTGTATCAACCTTGCCAATGTTTCCCCACACTCAACAGAGGAAGATATGTTTGATTTTATCTTTTTATTACTCACCATTGTGATAGTCTTGTCTTGTATTCTACAGGAATCTCTCTCTCTCTCTCCGGATATTGCTGTGGGCCAAAAATGGAAAATCTCCATTGAGTGAAAAATAGATTCGTTGGTACCGAAATAAATAAATAATCCCAGTT